>NC_000005.10:26974487-27277517 GCF_000001405.40 Homo sapiens
CTCAAAGAACCTAGATTAAAATCAACAATGAATTGAGTGTAAATGTGTGCCAGGCACTGAACTGGCTGGTGAGGCTTCTATAGTTTCAGGAATAAACTTGTCTGAATGGATATTGATGGGAGTATTTTTATAAAATACAAAAGACAAAACAGTGACATGAGTGTTAATTTATTTTGATTTTTTCAAGATTTATTGAGGTATACAAATGACAAATACAAAATGTATCTACTTAAGGTGTACAATATGATGTTTTGATATACATATAAATTATGAAGTGAGCACACTTAACCTAATTAACATATCCATCACCTCATATAGTTACCCTTTTGTGTGTGTGTGTGTGTGCGTGTGTGTTGAGAAAACAATATCTACTCTCTTCGCAAATTTCAAGTATACAACAGAGTATTGTAACTGTAGTCACCATGCTGTACATTTGATCTCTAGAATCTATCCATCCTATCACTAACAGTTTTGACCCTTTGACCAACAGCTCTCCATTTTCCCCACCCTTAGCCCCATATCTGTTATATACATATAATAGAATAAAAAAACAGAAAGTTTACAAGATAAAGGCTGACTATGACCTTTGACATCTGCCCTCACTTTCTGATTGACATGTGAGTGGAAGTGCTCACAGAATTGCCCTGGAAAGAAGGAAAGCTACTTCCTGATTTCACAGCCACTTGAGACATTGTTACCAGAAAAGAAGGGATGTGACCCTCAAATAGACTTGCGAGATCTAGACCGGAAGTGACTAGAAAATATTTACATACCGCCAAAGCAGATTCCAATTTGAAGGTTTGAATTATTTTCCAATAAGGAAGCATTGAACTCTCATGTTTCTTAACATGCTGGAGCACCTCAAAATATAGAAAGTCTTATTCTTAAGAGTGACATATTGAAATAAGAGAATGAGTCATACCATCACCTATGATATAAAACTCTCTACCTAATGAATTGAAACATGAACTGAAATAGTAAGTATAGCTTTGGGGTAAACAACAAGAGAGTTTATTTTGACTTAGCACATTTGAAAAATTTTTAAATACTACAATATTATAAGCCTTAGTGTGACACATGCATATTCACATTGTGCTGTGTTTCTCAAAAGCAATCCTGGTGTTCAGGTTTTTCTCTTCACAAAGTTGTTGTGTTGGACAGATATACCCATTGAGGATTATTAAGAAAGTCTGACCCAAACAAACAAATATACAGATAGACAAAAATTTATTGACACTGGCCACCAACCAAAGAGGAAGAACTGCAAAATTTATGGCCTTAATTTAAGCTTCTTATAGCCTATATCATAACCAGGCTTTCCCTCTGAGGGTAATTCCCAGTTATGGGTAGTAGAGACTGTATAGATAGAGCTCAAACAGAGAGAAGCAATATTATTGTGCTGAGGAGACCGAGGTTAGCGTTTAAGCCTGAGACAGTGGTAAGAAATTGGAAGGCACGATCTTAGAGAGGAGTCACAGAGAGTGAAACCTCCAGGTCTCTTTTTAAAATGCCCAACTGTTTTGTTGTTGTCTAAACTTCACATGCACAAGACAGAAATCCAAGTCACTTAGTAGAAAATGTTGGCAAGAAATCTAAGGAAATAAACAGAAATTTAATGAGGAGGAAAAAGAAATTGGAGTTCAATCCTCCACCAAGTTAGTGTGAATTTGAGAGTGCTTCAAAAGTTCTGTAGATCTCAAGCAGGGGCAAGTTCTAGACGTAATGACAAACCTGAACTATTTCTACCTTAACATAAACTCTATATGAACAGAAATAGTGATGAAACAGATTGGATGAAATATTGATAATCAGTGAATCTGGCTAAAGAGTATACAGAAGTTGGCAGAATTTGAGTGACCTTCCTATAAGATTGAAAAATGTTAAGTTACCAAAAATACACAGGCATATTGATTGTGATAACATTTAATCTTTAGGTTATTTTACAGTCCTCTAATTTTTTGTTTGTTTTGTTATTTGAGACAGGGTCTCACCCAGGTTAGTGTGCAGTGGTGCGATCTTGGCTGACGGCAACTTCTGCTTCCCGGGCTCAAGCAATCCTCCCACCTCAGCCTCCCAAAGAGCTGAGACCACAGGCGCAGGACACCACACCAGGCTAATTTTGTGTATTTTTGTGTAAAGATGAGGTTTTGCCATGTTGCACAGGCTGGTCTTGAACTCCTGAGCTCAAGTAGCCTTCTAATTTTTATGCATATTTGATTTCTCCATATATTGCTTCCTTTTATGTTTCTAGCATTTTTTAATTGTTGAACATCTTATTATGCATACTGGCCACTTGGATATCATCTTTTGTGAATTATCTATTAAGTCTTTTTGGTTTAATTTATATCTTCTCTTATGTTTTTCTTATCAATTTATAAATATTAGTAAGCATAAAATATTTTGTTATCTGTATTATTGTATGTATTATATTTACTAAAATTACTATCTCTTATTTGCAGATATATTATTTGTTTATACCACTAAATGAAGATTTCAGAATCTATACTCTAAGAACAAGGAAATAGTCTAATATAATCATAGTATTATTATACATTTAAATTAAATAATTTTAACAATAGAATTATATTCCACATTAGAAGAAACAGTCCATCTTCAAATATGCCCATTGTTCTAGTAATGCCATTATGACAATTTCTAACTTAAATTCAAAATTCAATGCAAGATTATACATTTTCTTAAATAGGCATTTCATGTTAGTTTCTTTATTCTCAAACAGTTTCTCAGACTAATGGAAACTGGCAAGATAATTTTATGAAAATCTAAAGGACTTTGAAAGTCACAGTGATCTTCTAAAGGAGGACTACAGTTGGGGAGCTTACATGACCAGACAGAAAAATAAAACCATAATGCCTCAATAATTAAGGCAGTTTGGTATTGACATCAAATATAATTGACCGTTTTGTTTTCAATAAGTAACATTCTACAAAGTATATTAAAATTTTATATAGAGATATATATGTGTGCGTGTGTGTGTGTGTATATATATATATATATATATATGGCACTAAATAATAACCAGGAGCAAACAAAGACTGGAAAGATTACAAGCAAATAGAGGATAAAAAGAATTCTACATTAATTTCTTTGAGGGAATACTTCATTTCATGTGTCATGTAAAATATGAAGTTTAAGAATTAAGGGTCAGGATTCAAGGCTGCCATATTGGTTAACAATTGAAAGGAGAAAGATCCAGGAATGGAGGAAGCCACAGAGGAGGTGACCCTAAAATTGGCATACACATGCATGACACCTAAACTGAACATGTACACAGTAAGACACAAGTAAGAACTCAGAGACATTTGAAGCACTTCAGATACTGAGAAGAGTTTAAAATTCAAGTTCCTTTTAAGTAGATGTGCTTGGTAAACACTTTGGGGTTTTCAGTGAAACATTAGTAGAGTAATAACTTAAGATTAAGGAAGCTGTACTAAGAAGGGTTACACTACAGGACTCAGGGAATAAACAAAATAATAGCCTGCCTAGAAATTTCTAAAACCAAACCTACACAGGATCAAAGTAGCATCCAGTGCAATTTTACTTCCTGCTGGGACGAAACTCAACACTCTTTAAAGCAAGATAATAGAATTTCTGTAATGTGTTAATCACAATGTCTAGTATATAATCTAAGCTTTCTAGAGAGTAAAAAAACAGAAACATTCTAACACATAATAAAAAAAAGATAGTGAATAGAAATAGACTTAAAGAAGACCCTGATATTGAATTTAGTGGGACAAAGACTTATAAATAATTGACATCAATATATTGAAGAATTTATAGAGAATACTAAAATAATTGGAAGTACATGGGAAATGCCATAAAATATGTAAAAATTCTAACAGATAATAAAGGAAACCCAGAACTGAAATTATAATAACTGAATTAAAAATGTATAATGGTAGATTAGACACAGAAACATAAGAAACAATAAATCTGAAAATAAATTTTCCAAATTTAAGCACAGAGACAATATTATATTAACCAAAAATAGTTTCCAACTATGGGATGATATGAAATGCCCTAAAATACTTGTATTTGAAGTTTCTAAAAGGAAGAGATAGTGGCCACAAAAATAACTTTTTTTTTAAATGCTCATTTAATTTTAAAATCCAATGAAAACAACTCACTGATCTAAGGAGGCCAGTGAATTTCAAACAGAATTAAAAAGAAAAAAAAACAGAGTTAGGTATCAAATTAAGAATACTGAAAGCAAAGATATAAATAGAACTTTAAAAGCAGCCAGAAAAACAAACATATTACATATAGGGCAGCAACAATAAGAATAACCGCTAACTTTTGATTAAAAGTAATATAATTCACAATACAATGTAACAACAATTTTAAGTGCTAAAAGGAAAATAAACTGTCAGATTAATCCATGGTTCTATATCCAGTTAAAATATTTTTCAAAAATGAAAATGAAATAAAGATATTTCTATTAACGAAAAGCTAAGAAAACTTGTTTCCAGCAGACCCACACTACAAGTAATGCTGAAAGAATCCTTCAAGTTGAAGGGAAATGATGTCACACAGAAATTCTGAACTATAGATAAGAATAAAAAGCACTGACTAGACATATTTATATAAATTAATAGAAAAGATTATCTTTATTTCTAAAAGTTTTAAAATAAATAATGAATTGTTTAATAATAAACATTAACAATGCATTATGCAGTTTACAATATATATAAGAAAAATATATGACAAAAATAGAACAAAGTCTTGCAAGATAAATTATACTATTGTAAGATGAGTGTATTATATGCTAAAATATACACTATTAATTCAATTTATACTGTAACAAATTAATAATGAATCCTGAGATGCCTTAAATACAGACTAAAAACATAAAAACACAAAGAAGTATAGCCAAGAATAGCCAATAAAGAGCATAAACATAGATGTTTAAAAAAATGATTAATTGTTCCAAAAGATGATAGAAAAAAATTAAAAAAACAGAAACAAAGTTATAAAGAACAACTGGGGGGAACAGAAAACAAGAAAACGGCAGACTTAAATCCAAATATATCAATAATGGCATTATATATGAATGGGTTTAAGCCAATTAAATGCCAAATATTGTCAGATTGCGTAAAAAGAATAAACCAACTCTGAGCCCTTTATATGACAATAAATCCTTACAGCTGGATTTTTAATAGACTTATACAGAAAGGCTGAGAGCAAGAGAATGATAAAAGATAAACCACACAAGCACACTCATGAGAAAAGTTGTGTGGGTAAACTCTTAGGAGGCAAAGTTAACCTCAAGTAAGTGGTATTATCACAGGTAAAGGTTGGTATTCATAATGATGAAATATTTAATCAGAAATATAAAGAAAGATCATTAGATATGTACCTAATAACTGTATTAAAATAAATGAGAAAAAAATGACAGTGGTAAAGAGAAACATTTTTAAATGGAGCATTTAAAACTCTTACTCCCAGGAAGAATTTAAATATGGAGACACAAAATATGGAATGCTAGAGAATTGAACACCATTGTTAAATTTTTCCTAAAATTCTTTTCCTAAGAATACTATACCCAGCAAGTATGTAATAAACATTCAAGTATATAAGAAACATTTACCAAAGTAGTTTTAAAATGTAGTTTTTTCTAAAAAATCTGTGGGAGAATATTATTATAGTTTTTCAAGAGAAACATTTGTTATTGGAAAATATTGAGGAAGTTGGAAGTTTCACAAAATAGTCATGTACAAATATTTTCTCTTTTTGTAGAAAAAAAGGCATCTTCTTAGATTTGCCTAGTCACTCACTTATTCATTATTATTGAACACTTTTTTTATGCTTCTGTTTTTAACATAAATTTCTGATATGATGAATCAGTAATCACCTTCCTTGGAAATTCTGGCTACGAATTAGAATATTTACTGAGTAAATTTTACTAAGTGTATACTCAATTGTCTATCTAAAGTGACCCCAATTACCTGAAAAAAATGTTTAAAGAAAGTTAGATATTTTCACAATATTTCCCTGGCATTTTTTCCATAAACACCACCACTGCAGCTATAAGACTCTTAATATCAGTTATTAGGATTTATAATGCAGAAATTATAAAAGATTTGCTTGAGTACAGTTGCAATATTTGTGAATATCTGGTACAAATGTCTGGTCATCAGAAAAAGGAAACATGGTAGTTTCTAAACAAACAAACATGCATACATTATTAATTTGGAGATGATTCTAGTGCAAAATTAAGCTAAATACAGTTTATGTATTAGGAATTCAGTCTATTGAGTCAGAAGAAAAAATGTCTACTTTTTCTGAACTGAGGCTATTAGCAGGTCTTTCTCACAGCAATGAGCAATAATAGCATTGCATTTATAATAGAGAAATTCTTTAAGATAAGGACCAATTAATCTTATTTACTATGATTTCTAGGACTTAAGATAGTGTTCCACACTGTAGGTGCTCAGTTTTTTCAAAATTAATTGAACCATAATATTACACAGGACTAAATTTCACATTAAAATACAGTCCCAACCAGACAAATATCTAGCATAACTAACGCCCCATGTCGGTACATTGGTTTTTTGTTGGTGGAAGAGAAGAGGTATAAATTTTTGAAATGCCATTGGCTAATATGTACCCAGAACTTTAAAATTATTCGTATATTTCAATTTTGAGAATTCTCCCTCCAGTAATCTAGCCTTAAAAAGGATAATTTATAATACATAATCATCCCTCGGTATCCGTGGGTGATTGGTTCCAGGAATCCCTGCAGATACCAAAATGTGCAAATGCTCAAGTCCCTATATAAAATGGTGCAGAATTTACATTTAACCGATGCACATCATTCTGTTTACTTAAAATCATTTCTAGATTACTTGTAATACCTAATACCCTCTAAATGCAATGTAAACAATTGTTATACTATATTGTTTAGGGAGTAATGACAAGAAAAAGAAGTCTGTACATTTTCACTAAAGGTGCAACAATCCTTTATTTTTCTCTGAATATTTTCAGTCTACTGTTGGCTGAATAAACATATGTGGAATCCACATATATGGAGAGCCAACTGTACTAAAAATATCAGCTAAAATATTTGGGAGGCAGAGGCAGGTGGATCATGTTTTTATACATGCTTGCATGTATAAAACCAGAGAGTCTAAACAAAATGTGTGGAAAAATTTTAAATTTTTATGATTTTATATATGACATAATATGACATGGCTAATACTAACATTTTAACAGTATGCCAAAATGTAGCATTGACAGAGAAAAGCAAGATAAAACAGGCATAAAAACAATAGAAAATCAACAGTGTCAAAAATAAAACCAATAAATAGGTAGAAAAATATTTAGACAACTTACCCTTGTCTTAGTGAAATCATTATAAATATCTTAGGTTTTTTAAAATGATTTTTAAATTTTATGTTCCTGGTTTTTAACAGGGAGCACATACTGCTTTCATAATGACATCATCATCATCATCATCATTTACAGCCTTGTACATAAATAATTCTCCCCATCCCTCTCTCCATACCCTTCTGAAGATAATGTCACTTCTGTCACTTGTTGTTTCCCTCCCTCCGTCTCGTCCTTCCTGATGAGTATATAAAGGTGGATTCGATCATCTGCAAGTTTTTCCCTCCCTCCCACCCTTCCTCCCTTCCTTCCTTATTGATGAGTGTATATATAAAGGTGGATTTGATCATGTGCAAGTTTAGAAGATGAGTTGGAATATTAGAAGTAGTTCAAAAACACTGAAATCAGTGGTGGAAGTGTAAAACAAAATTAAACATACAACTTGGTAGCCATATTAAGAACCATTTTCTACCACACTTAATATTTTTTAAATGGCTTCACAGTTATGAGAACCCTCCAATATAATGGAAATATAGGAAAGGAATCAGAAGAACAGCAAAGAGGAAGTTTGACTTTGATGTACCATTTGTCAGAAAAAGGGAATATATTTCTATAAAATTTTCTCTGCTTTTTCTATTTTTCATAATGTCAATTTCTCAGGATTCAGATTAATAAAGAATAAAGATTTTTAAAATAGTAGCTAAATATTAATTTTGAGTAAACCTATATTGTCAAAAATTTGGGGAAAGAAATCCAACACAGAGTGAAAGCCCAAATGTCACAGAAACTAGGAGACAATGTAGAAGATGTATCCAAATAATTCAACTTGTGCTATGAATAAGTTTTTTTTGTTTTTTTGTTTTTTTGTTTTTTTTGAGATGGAGTCTTGCTCCATCGCCCAGGCTCGATCTCGGCTCACTGGCTCACTGCAACCTCCGCCTCCTGGGTTCAAGTGATTCTCCTGCCTCAGCCTCCCGAGTAGCTAGGATTACAGGCACCTGCCACCACACCTGGATAATATTTGTATTTTTTTTTAGTAGAGATGGGGTTTCACCATCTTGGCAAGGCTGGTCTCAAACTCCTGACCTCGTGATTTACCCGCCTCCGCCTCCCAGAGTGTTAGGATTGCAGGCGTGAGCCACCGCGCCTGGTCTATGAATAAGATTTTAAGAGATGATCTCATAGTTTTGAGGGATAATTCTAGCTAGGGAAAATGAAATGGGTTTTATGTAAGATTGTGCACAGAAGTTGTGGTAAGACATAGAGTGAACAACAACAACAACAACAAACAGATATGAGATTATGGAAAAGTGGGTAAGATACTCCCTGGGAAGGGGTCTGCGGATGTGATGAACAAAAGGTCAGGTGTGTGGAAGAAGAAATATCATGTTGACTAGAACTCAGGTTACAAAGTTATGGGGACATAGAACATAGGCTGGAATTTCCAAGAATACTAACGGACAATTTGAATTCAACTTAAGTGAATTTCAGTTAATTTTCTAGAGGTATTTTTGTGCTAGAGAATGGGATTATTCAAGAGATATTGTATAAACTGCTTCTGATCATTACAAAAATAAGTATAAATAAAGTCAAGGAAAAGATAAGTTTAGTGTGCTAAAGCAGTTTTCCAGCAAAGTGATTACACAGTATTGGCAGTGAAAAATAAAACATGGAGCTATATGCTAACAGTGAGTTTTTATAGAATTCAGTGTTAAACTCGCCTCAGTATGCTGTCCTTAAAGCGTAGTCATAATGTTTAATTTTTGTGTGTGTTCTGAGTTATAAACAACTAATTCATAAAGAGAATTTTGGAATACAATGTATTTACAAATCAAAAGCAGCTGCTCCATGTACTGCACTATAAGTAATGATACTTTCAAACCTTTATAAACATATTTTACTTAGATTCTGGAAAACACTGTGATATACTATAACAACTCATCAAAACTCTTTAAATAAATTTGAGATTTTATTTCTATTTCTATTTCTAATTTATATTCCATCAGTTACTTCTACATATCAAACTGACATACCTGAAAAGCTTAAGAAAAAGTTACCTATTCGAGTCCATTATTTTATATATACTTCAGCTATATATTAATACTTAGTGCACAAACTAGCATATGTAAACGTGAAAGTGTCACTCCACCTTTTGATACACAATCAAATATAAAACAGATTCCTACCAATTTTTCTTTTGTTAACTGTGTTTCCTGTTGTTTTAGGTAACAGATAAACCAATTGTAACCATGAAGGCAGAGCTCAATCAATGTTAAAATCCCTTTCCACTCTAGAATCTATGATTACATTCATGATTTCAGAATGGGATAACAAAAGTTTCTAAATTAAAATTATAAAGACTTGAGAGGTAACTCTGCAATAAAGATACCTTATTTAATAGTGGCTACCTATAGATGGCTCATTAGCTCCACGTTCCTTGCTCTGCACAAAGCAAGTGCTAAATACATATTTTTAAATTAAAATGTAATGGTCAATTAAGTTGATATTCCAAATTACTAAATGAATCTTCACAATTGTGAAAAATAAACACCATTTTATTCCTTGTGAAAAATAAATACTATGTCTGCTGTGTCTGGGTATTGGGTTTCTCTTCATAAAATAAATGTGGTTTAACAACCAGATATTAAAATCAAATAGGTAAATTCTATTCAATTCTCATTACTAATTGGGATATAGTTAATTGATTATTGATCCATGATAAGCAGGGATTATTCTGGACTTTGAACTTATGTATAACAAAATAAAGTGCTATAAAGATTCTCTAACAGAATAGTAGGGACATTTGCTATGCTTCTTGTTATTTTAATTTCTCTCCTGAGCAGTATTGCAATTCTACCTAAATAATTCAGTCACAAGTGTCTCTTCAAGTTATAGAGAAGCTAGATGACAATTATTATGACTTTTTTTCCTTCTTGGGGAACAGTACAACATTTCGCTTATTACATAAAACAATATTTGTAAATCTCTGATAGTTTCAGTCAAGAATGACCAACCAAATTTCAAATTGCATTATTGCGAAAAACAAAAACTTGCTATTTATTCCAACATTTCTGACTTCTCTCCTATATTGCAAATGTCTGAAATGCCATAAAAAATTCTGCAGTATTGCCTTATTAAAATTATCTTAACTCATTTTCTTACTCTTCTAATCCATCCTGACAATGAAAGAAAACTCATTATTTCAGTTCTGTGCTCCCAACATAACTGATTTGTACAAAGGCTTTTAACAGATTATTTACATTTCATGCTGTATGCAAAAACAACCAATCCTAGAATTCTGGACCTTTCACAGTGAAGGTCTAACTTTATCCTATTAGACCAGCCTCTTTTTTTCTTTTATTGTGCTATATACACGCAATTCTACCTTCTTAGATTTGTCCACATGCACATATTTATGAAAATATTTCTAGCTCTTCTTGTCCCTAATGGCAGGCCTTTCCAAAATCTTAGAAAAGACCAGAAATTTGGAGTTAAAGAAATCTTAATGACAATGTAAATCAACCCAACAAGAATCTGAGGGTTGTCAAATTTAAACAGCTTCTAAATTATAATATTTACTACGTGTCACAATTAAGACTAAATCTTATAAGTTGCATGTTTGTGTGTATACATGTATATAATTTATTAAATTTTTCTGCACTATTTTATTTTTCTAAAACTGCTTCCTCTCAATTCAGGATCAAACCCTCGTTTTAACCTTTAAAAATATATCTTCCCAATTTCATGCAATTTTACAGCACCTGTAAATTAATATGTTGTCTATCATTTTCTATGATTCCCAGCTTCTATAAAACTATAAAGAAACCATGTAAATTTCTTCCCATTAGAAGCTACTTAGCCTTTCCCAATCCTGGTCCGTGGTGAATACGACAGGCCTTTTCTTTACAGGGGATGCTATCAATGGATCCTGGAAGACTAGGTTGAGGTCTACCCAGGGAGACCAGAAACACTGTGGTCAAAAAGACAATCTGTGAGGTGCTCAAGAAGTTAAATCCTTATCAGAACTCATATGTTTGACTAAGTTTAGAGTTAAGGGTCCAGTTAGCCACTATATATGCAAATAAATAGTGATGTCAAAAGCCAGAAAAGCAGGATAAAGAGAGAGTAAATGCCCTTAATAAGTTAGTAAAAGCTAAGATGTGGTTGAAAGTCAGCCCACTTTTATAATGAACTAGCTATGTGGTAATGGAATATCTTAGATAAGTCCCTATTAAAAAAAAGAAAGAGTTTTTTCTTTAAAAAGTAGTATAAGTATTTTATTTTGCTGAGGTGTCTATTTCATATACATATTATTTCCTACTGGAAACATAGAAATAGTTGACAGGTGGTTTTGGTTTCATTGTATTTATTTCCCCCAAACATCTGATATTATAATGAGTGTTCCATTTGTGGTTCATAACCCCGTTGTCAAGAATAAATTGGCAAAAAATTCGCACATCCTAACTTGTCCACGCATAAATCCAAAATGCCATTTTTCCAACAAAAATGAAAAAAATATGAAAGGTAATTAAAGCTATGCATGTACATTTAGTAATTGTTTATGACAGATTATGGAATTAATTAAAAAGGAAGCATGATTGCACACAAAATTTTAAACTATAATGTATATTTAAAATGTGAGAACAAGAATGGTGGTCAATTTAGAAATTAATTAATGTACACTCAATTTTTAGAGGAAGTATTTTTGTTTTCAGCTTAAAATAAATGCTTGCTGTAGCGCCTTAACTGCCTTAGGATTATGAGCGACTCTTTTATCTGTGGCTATTCTTCTGTATCTGTGAATCTCCAAGGATAAAACTGATTCTGTAAGGCCCTGTGACCTCAATGTGTCCTTTATACACTTCCTTGGAGAATCGTAAGGCAATTTCACATCCTTAGACAAAAAACATTTGCTAGCTGAACTTGAATTTCCTGATGTTAGTTATTAACTGTAGTGTGAAAAGTGATGTTAAATGAGGGATGCCTGAGGATGCCATATGACTAACCTGAGAAGAAATAACAGGCAAAAAGGAACCAGCAAGGGAACTGAATGGGGCGGAATGAGCATGACCTATGGAACCAGAAAAGAGAAATGTCAAAAGAAGAGAAAATAATAGGCTTCTGATAAAGGAGGCTGCTTTTGATTGGCCCACACACAGAAAGAAGAATTAGATCAAAATTTTGGCAATTTCACAGAGCAAATGTATTCCTGTTTTAAAAGCTACAAGCATGACATTTGTGATATTAGGCACTTGTATTCTTTTTTTTTTTTTTTTTTTTTTCATTTTTGGCCTGATCTAATTTATGTGCCTGGTGCTGTCAGTGAGTCAAACAATATGCAAACCATTACAGTCTCTCCAAGTACATATATGCCATGACTCAAAAAATAAATAAATTTATGATCTGTAGACTGCAAGTATTTAAAATTGTTCGTTTTGTTGTAAAAATTTTAACATTCCTCAGTATTGGGTGTAAATTGGGAACAATTATAGTTAACAAATGAATTGTCCTGAGTTTAGAATAGTATGAATGTGATTGGTAAGGAAAAGGATGATAGATACATAGAAAATTATGGATGTTGGAAAGGTCACGCCACTAAAGAAAGAAAATTGGAGAGATAATGAGCTAAAGAAAAAGAAGTCTCTAAACACCAATGAAAGAGAGGCAATGAATCTGCTTCCTCAAAATTGAACATAAGAAGGGAGTTACATATTCTCTATTATTGTCTGCTTCTGACTGGTAATGAGCAACTTTGTTCCTACTAACACAGAAGCTTATCTTCTTAAAGATAGTGTCTTCTTTCTCATTTTTTTAAATCTTGTCTTTATCCTTCTGCCTTAAACACTTTTGTCTAGATTACAAGCAGGAAGCAGGAAGCTCACCCTAGCAGATATTAAGAAATAGAAATATCTAGAAGTATTTTATTTCTCATACAGAGTACACTATTCCTAATTATGAAAAACTATCAATCGATCTCAAGGAGAGTTTTATTTAGATAATACACATATGATTAAATAATATCTAGCTGATTAATAATGAATCACATCCATCCACATATGACTTAGTAGTTTACGCTTATTATTGACATTGATTTACATTTAGAACCCAAATATGGTTCCTTGTTCTTCCCCACTAAAATAGTTTGCAATATCACACCTTCAGAACATAATTAGTTAAATATTTTTTAATAATCACTAGTGAAAAGAAAAGTTGCTGGAAAAAAATAAATAGCTGTCACTTTCAGCTTTTAGATTTCTCATACAAAAATTCTTACCTTGCCTACATATTGTGTGTCAGTACCTGTGTACTCTTCCAATAAGAAGAACTGATTCCACATCCAGCCACGCTTGGTGCGACGTAGCATTTTACCGTCATCTTTTGTCAGACCCGCTATCTTTTTGCTTGATAAATAACTGTTAGGTTTTTCTTGTAATAGGATGGTGTCAACTGTATGGAACATATAGGTCCAGATGAATAATGGTATATAATGGTAAGTCCTCATTATCTGCAACTTCAGTGGGTTGTCAAATTCAATGTATTGTTTGTTTTTCCTAAAGAGTAAGGAGAAAAAAAATGGCTGTATTAGCTTGAGTTTCACTTTCCCACAACGTGTAAACTGAAATACTTATTCCAGACATTATTTAAATTTTATTATGTACTATATATACATTATATTTCTATATCAGTGAACGGTCATGAAAAACTCATTTATCACATAGATAAGTAGAAAGACATATACAACTCAAGTAGACTAAACAGGAATTTAGCAGCTAATTTAAAATTACTATAAAACAATCAGATACATATTAATATTTTTGTAATTTAAAACACTAAATATTTTGAAAAATAAGTTCTACAGCATACATATTATCACAGCAAATGTTCCATAGTCCTTAAGACTAATAAAAGTAGAATATTTATTAACATATACATACGTGTATGAAATTACATATTTTAAAGAGTACTTCTCATAATCCATCATTTTTAGTAAACTGTTTTTCTCCTCTGCCCCCTATCTTCCTCTTTACAATCCTCCTCATCCATCAGATTGAAATGTTGCCTCAAGGCAAATTATATGGTACCAAATATACTTAGGATTGTGTCTTGCAATACTTAGCACCATGTCGATCTTTTCCAATCAATAACTATTTTTTTCCAACAATTAATCTAGTAGGACACTCAAATTTATTTGAGACTGAGGAGTACACGCTCTAAATAAAAGCATTTTACATGGTAATTAAGAACAAATTTATTTCCTAAAATAATAAGAAAAAAATAGCATTGAAACTTGATATTGCAAAATTAGATAACACATGTTACGTATAGGATAATCTGATCCAGAATTTTGAAACAATGTCTCCCTGTTAATATAATAAGTTGATTATTCTTGGATGAAAATCATTGTTCACTTGGTATTTCAGAATTGATTTTATTTGTTATCAAATTGGTTTTAATTTGTATGATACTTAATTTAGAAGATGTGAGATGATAATGGCTATGATCTATTAAGCAATGGAAATTAATCTCAAACTAGTAGGCAAAAAAGTCATTGGGTTATACAATCAAATTAAGTGTGGAAAAGAAAATAACAAAAGGAGCAAAGAAGCAGTTCGGCATTTCCTTATCATGAAAACTAGAATTAGGGGCTTGAGTATTATATTCTCTCTCTCTTCTCTGTCTCTCTCTCTCTCTCTCTCTCTCTCTTTCTCTCTCTTTCATTTTCTCTTTCACCCTGACTAAACCCCCTCAACCTGAATAAATTGTGTGGGTGATAATATCTCCTGAATTCAGATATAAAATCTTCAATTTCAAAAAGCAACTGATAGTCTTTTCTAATTGGAGTTTTAAAAATCCTGGGAATGGACTCTGATTTACCTTGTTTAAGCCAGAAACCCAATGTTGGACCAAGCATCTATGAATTCAGTAATGGGAATAACAAGGTATAAAGGTCAAATATAAGGATCTAGCTTGGCTTTGTGCCCTACTGTCTGTGATATTTTCAAATACGGACCTATATCACTTGGTCTTCATTAATACCTGACCCACAAGGTATTGTTGTTGATTTTATTTTACACTTTTATCAATACAAAGTAATAGTCGTGTACATTGCAGTGACTTATTTTATTTTGACGATAGCAAATCTGAGGTGTGATGAGTTTAAGTAACATGACAAAAGTCATGCAAGTAATAAGTATTAGAACCAGGTTTCAGACACACAGACTTAAACACCGTTTTTAATATAAGACAATGCATGTAGAAGAGTTATCACAGTGCTAGCACAAAACTCAACATATTAGCATTATCATCATGATCATCACAACCATCATCATTATCATTGTCATCATCAAGCATCGTTGCTCATATTATAGGCATAGAGACATGGGTCCAACTCAGCAGAAAGAAGAATGGTAATTGGCAGGTGGTATTATAGATTCTTGCTATGGTCTAGAGCTACAGGTTCTGTCCAACACATCTATGTACCTTGATTTCCATGCCTATTATTTTAAAAATTGGTCACTCTTAGCTCTTAATGCAAACATATGGTTACAAATATATGCTGCTCTTAATACATATATATGGTTAAGTTCCAGAATTACAGTAATACAAAATTACACCATTTTTCAATGCTGAAATCTCAGGTCATGGTTATTATCATCAGGACTTTATGTGGCTATTTGTAATCCTGTAAACTGTGGAATAATTGGTAAATTTGACCACAGCCAATATAAAACCCGGAATTAGATATCAGAAATTTAAAATGTTAAATAATGCTTAGAAAAATGTGCAATGGAAGAGTAACACTTAGTGGTCACTGGCCCAGAACATGCCCCATGTTTTGTAGCTGAGTGATGCTGTAGTGGAAAATGAACAGCCAGAGAATCTCAAGGACAGCTGTTATCTTACTTTGATAAAATACAACAAACTCCTTAGTTGACCACACTGGTTACCCTGGTTTCTTCCCACTGGTAGAATTTGTTTTGATCATTGACCTTGCTTATAACCCTTGCCAGAGAAATCAAAGGGTATTCTCCATTTCCTGGGGTCAGTTCTAACTATGATGCCCATTTTGTGTGGAACATAGGCCTTTGAGCGGAATAATCTAGTTTTATGAGATGGGGCAATAGACTTAGGCAGGGGCTAGGATCCCATAGGAGTTTATAAACTACAGTAAGAAATTCTCATTCATTTTCAGTGCGATTGAAAGCAGTTGGAAGATTTTAACATTATATGTTTAGAAAAGATCAACTGGTGCAGACTAGAAAATAGGTTAGAGGGCAGGAAAGCGATTTGGTTAAGAGAGAGATCAGTTAGGGTCTTTTACTTCTAGTCCGGTAAGAGATGATGAAGGCATATAGAGAAGTGGTTTGAAGTAGACACTGAAACGCTGCTCAGATTCCCTTTGATCCTTTAATGTGGCCACACACCCACACTCCATACACTACAATTTTTCTATGCTTTTGCTTCTAATGGTCTGCCCCTGCAACTGTCTTTGAACAACTTCCCTTGGCTACTGGAACCACTTTGCCCACATGCACAGGATGCCTAACGTGCTGCAAGTTTACAGACATCTGTAATATCCCATTGCCAGTATGCAACAGGTGCCACAGTATGAAACTCAACATATTATCTACGTTCTAGAGCTTTCCTACAGAATCGTAATGAAGCTGGGATTTTGATACCTTTGTTTGGCTTCTTTTCCATCCCTGTCCTATTACTCCACTTAATCCTGAAATTCCTTACCTGGAACAAAATTTTTAACTGATCAATTGCCCAAAAATCCTTGTCTCAGGTTTTGTTTCTGGGAAATCAGAACTAATATGTGGATCTAATTCACATATGTAGATATTTACAAGAGTAGATAATATCATCTTATATATTGGTTATGGAGGGTGAAGAAAAAATAAAAATAAGGTGTAACTTCTAGATTATTTATGAACTAGGTGGATGACTGAGTGATTTCTTGAGTGTCATTTATATCAGGAGAAAAGTGGATCTATTGGAAAAATAAAGAATCCATTCTTTTCTTATTCTTGGTCAAAATAAAGAAGTAATTTTTATACTTCTATCACCAACACCATTTGGGCATAATTAAAAATAGGGAGCAAAGTGGTTCTAATGATTTTATACTATGACTTGAATACATACGCACACATATACATTACATATAGATATGGATACGTATACAGATGAATATATAAATGCATATGTACAAATGTATATATATATCATCAGGCACTGGATTCTCATAAGCAGCACGCAACCTAGATCCCTTGCACGCCCAGCTCACAATAGGATTTGCATTCCAGTGGGAATTGAATGCTGCTGCTGATCTCACAAGAGGCAGAGCTCAGGTGGTAATGCTCTCCTGCCTGCTGCTCACCTCCTGCTGTGCAGCCTGGTCCCTAACAGACCAGGGACCAGTACTGGTGTGCAGACTGGGGGTTGGGGGGCCCTGCTCAAGGTGATAATATTAGGAATGGGGCTGTTGGGAGTTGATTATGTCATGGAGGTAGAGCTCTTATGAATGAGATGGTGCCCTTGTAAGAGAGGCATGAGAGGGTTCTCTTGCCTTTTGACCATGTGAAGACACAGCAGAACAATGGCCATCTATGAACCAGGAAACTGGTCCTCACCAGACACCAAATCTGCCATGCCTTGCTTGATGTTAGACTTCCCAGGCTTCAGTACAGTGAGAAATTAATTTCTGCTGTTTATAAGCCACCTAGTAAAATAATTGGTTATGGCAGCACAAACTAAGATTAGTACCAGAAGTGGGTTGCTACTATAACAAATATCTAAAAATGTGGAAGTGGCTTTGGAACTGGGTAATAATAGGTAAAGGCTGAGAGAGTTTTAAGGCGCATGCTAGGAAAAGGACTGCATTGCTATGAATAGATCATTGAGGATGATTCTGGTGAGGTCATAGAAAGAAAAGAGAACAATAGAGAAATGCTTAATCTTCTTCAAGAATATCTAAATAATGGCCGGGCGTGGTGGCTCAGGCCTGTAATCCTAGCACATTAGAAGGCCGAGGCGGGCGGATCACCTGAGGTCAGGAGTTCGAGACCAGCCTGACCAACATGGAGAAACTCTGTCTCTACTAAAAATACAAAATTAGTCTGGTGTAGTGGCGCATGCCTGTAATCCCAGCTACTTGGGAGGCTGAGGCAGGCGAATCACTTGAACCCGGGAGGCGGAAGTTGCAGTGAGCCCAGATCAGACTGCTCCATTGCACTCTAACCTGGGCAACAAGGGTGAAACTCCGTCTCCAAAAAAAAAAAAAAAAAGCATATCTAAGTAACATGGAACAGAACGTTGATAAAAATATGGACAGTAAATGCCATTCTAGTGAACTTCCAGATGGAAATGGGGAACACATTGTTGGAAATTTGAGAAAAGGGTATCCTTGTTATAAAGTAGAAAAGACCTTGGCTAAATTGTGTTTATGTTCCAGTGTTTTACAGAATGTAGAATTTGGGAGCAGTGAAATAGAATACATAGCTAAAGAGATTTCTAAGAAAATTGTTGAAGGAGCATATTGGCTTCTCTTTATAGTAAAATGTGAGACACAAAAATTACTTAAAATGAAATTGTTTAGCAAGAATAAAACAAAGTTTAAAGATCTGAAAAATTTTCAGGCTATTCATATTGCAAAAATGAGAAAGTATTTGAGAGTGAATACTAAAGATGTGGCTAAATGTCTTTTGATAAAGGGGTTAGTAGGGGTGTGAACCATAGACTTAATATGACAGCCCAGGAGGAAAGCTGCCAGTTTGAAGTGAAGAAGAAGGATATGGGAAGGAATGAAAGAAGGCTGGTGGATTTCTTGGATTTTATAGGCCAGCTCCCTACAGCTATTCAGCTGCAAAAAAAAAAAAAAAAAAAAAAAAGAACTATTATTCAAGACAAGAGAAGAATGACTCGAAAGATAATTCAGGTATGTGTTGTTGGTTTCAAAGGAGGGACTATTGCCTCACTTTCAACATGCCAGATAGTTTCTTCACAGGGCTTCAGGGTAGGGGTGGTCACCCAGAACCATGGGGATGGGACTGCCACCCCAGGAGGTTCAGAAAGTGAGACCACTGCCCCAGTGGACTTGGACCGCAGAGCACTAAGCAAAAGAGGATTATTCTCAAGGCTTAAAATCTCATGGAGTTTGCCTTGTTGGGTTTTAAACTTGCTTTGGACCTGTCATCCTTTCCTTCTTTCTTATTCCTCCCTTTTAGAATAAGTATGTTTATCTTATCATTGCTTATCCCATTATTGTATTTTGAGAGCACATTACCTGCTTGCTATCAGTGGTTCATATGTAGACAAAAATTTTACTCAGGATAAATAATACCTTATGTCTCATCCATATCTTATTTACATGATATTAGATGAGATTTTGAACTTCATAGAGTTGATGTTGGAATAAGTATAGACTTTGGGGCCTATTGGGATGAAATGAATGTGTTTTATATGTGAAAAGGACATGGGAGAACTAGGGTAGACTATTATAGACTAAATATTTGTGGCCCATCAAAATTCATATGCTAAAATCTTAACCCCCAGACTGATAGTATTAGGAGGTGGGGCCTTTAGGAGATACCAAGGTTAGATTAGATCATGAGAGTGGAGTCTCTAATGATGAGATTTGTCCCTTTAAAAGGACATGAAGGTACCTGAGCTTTTTTTCCTGTTTTTTTTGTTTCGTTTTGTTTTTTGTTTGTTTGTTTGTTTGTTTGTTTGTTTTGTTTTTTTTTGCTCTTGGCTATGTGAAGATACAATGAGAAAATGGTTGTCTGTAAACCAGAAAGAGTGCTGTCATCAGACAGCAGACCTGCTGGTGCATTCATTTTGGATTCCCCAGTTTCCAGAATTTTCAGAAATAAAAATTTGTTGTTTAAGCCACACAGTCTATGGTATCTTGATATAGCAGCATGGACTGACTAGAACAAAGTGATATTGCTCCATATGTGCCAACTTGAAGACCTCCTATGTGTTTTAAGCACTTGCCCAATTCACGGACTTCTTGCCTTTGCTCATGCTCTAACCTGCATCTATCTTATCTCGCTCATCCATAGCCATCTCCTCATTCTTTCAGTTTTTATATTATATTCTGTTTTGGGGGAAGTCTCTGAACAACCTTTTGAAAAATAGCTTACCCCGTTTTAGTCTCTATTGCTTTCTGTTATACCATCCATTCATTTCCTTCACATGATTTACCACTACTTTTATTATCTCTTTCATTTAATGGATTATATGCTTATTGACTGTTTCCACTAGTTTAAATGTAACACATATAGTGGTTAAATAGTTTGCAAGGTATTGTGTCTTGCATAAAAGTTATTGACATGCAGTCAGCACTTAATATGTATCTGCAAAAATTAATTGGTTAATTCATTAATGCCTAATATAAATAATTACTACTTTGAGCCTCGGATCATGTATGACATTGACTTAACATTCCAGTGCATAAACAAACTGATAGAGAAATAGAAAGAGTTGAACTGGGAGAAAATAGGCCTTTTGAAAACATTCAGGGTTTTTTTCCCCTAACAAATGGGATAAAATCTGCAGTGATGTAGAGTAATTCTCATAAAAATTTGCATAACATGAGATTCTGTATAAACTTCACAACACGATTGGTATAAATTACAGAATGTTTGCTTCAACTATGTAGTCCTTTGATGGTATATCTTCTTTATTTTTCTCATAATTCTTTATAAATTTATTTTTCATTTAGAGAACATCAGTACAACTCTCTTGGGGCCAATTTAACACCTGTACATTCCTCTGCTTTTGGACAAAAGTGCACACCCAAAAGGATTTTCTGTTGCATTTTTATTTTAAAGATAGCAAGCTTTTTATCCCATTGGATTTATTAAAAATTCTTCATATTACTTATTCAATAGGGAAAAGCTGATTACTAAGTTTTCTATGCCTAATTATTTGTCAGCATTAAATGCTTTGCATTTTAATCACATTTTTGTTGATAAATAAATACTATCAGATGTACTATAAAGTACAATGTTTTAAATGTGGCTCAACTTTGATTTTGTAATCAGGGAACTCACTCAAATCTTGTTAACTTTAAAAACTGAAAATTGTTTCATTATTATTCCTTTGCTCTCTTAATTATATTCCAATTATATTTGAGAAAAATGTCTGCTATTAAATATTTGTATGTCAAAAAAGGTGAATTACTGTAATTAAATAGGATTTTCAGCATATAAAATGCACATCTAAAATTAAATTAAATTATGTGCTTTCTCCTCTCTATACCTACACATATACACTTACAGAAGTTTTAACTCAGATAAGGTATTTTAATTATTCTAATCTTTTTCTTCAGACAAAGTTTCTCAGCTGAAATGTACAAATAACACAAGTGTTTGTGATTAATTTTAATATTATCATACTATTTTGATCAATAATGAACTTCAACATACATTAATCTATTGATCTTCAAAATGCAAAAACAAAACAAAACTGTGTGATACGGTCATATAATTTAAATATTTTTTCAAATAATATTTCTGAGGTTTGGATAGATGAAACAAATGATTTCTCATCACCCAATAATTTTGTGGTTTTGGAAAATGTCATACATATGTTGTTTGATTCCTAGATTCCTGTGATTTTCCAATACTCTGTTTTGTCTCTCATACCAGTTGGGGAGACAAGTCTTGACAGCTTAGGTAAGCAAATAACACATATATAAAGAACACATTCTATAAATATAAGTGACACCAAAATGATGTATCTTCTAAAATCAAATAACTTTTGAGGGATATATGCTTAAATTTATTTTTTCTTATTAATTAATAGTGGTTACATTTATTATATAACCATATATGTGTACATGTATAAATATATACATATTTAATCACTAGTTTGTTAAGCTTAACATATATATCTATATCTCTATATATCTATATCTATATCTATAGATTTATATATAGATATAGATATGGATATGCTTTTTAAAACCATTTACTGATTTTTTAAGAACTCTGTGCCCAAGTGCTGGCATGTAATTTGGTATACTATCTTTATCCAAATTAGTGGTGTAAAATTAGTTTAAGGAAAACAGAATTAGCAGAAATATGAGCTGCCATCTTCATATAAGCAATCCTCAATGGCTATCACCATCAAATGTCCAGCTTAAAAAATTTAGTTTCATGCCTTCCCTAAGGCAAAAAATCTAGTATCAGAAGAGAAGCTCTTGAATGACCTTTTGCTAATGGTTTATCAAAATAAAAATAACATCATATATTATAAAATATGATATGTATAGAATATATGAAATGATAGAATATAAAGACTTAGAAACAACCCATTGCCAGAATATGAGAAAATTAACTGTTGTCTGTAATGATGGTGGAGCTAGTTTAATAAATAAACAAGGATCGATTGTTTTCTGAGATGCATATGTGTGTGTGTATAAACATATATGTATGTGTGTGTGTGTGTGTATATATGTCCACTTTCAATTTAAAGGATAAACGTAAGCAATTTTTCTGACAATATTGGATTGGCCCCTTGAATGGAAATCCAGGGAATCAAAAATTGTATATGGTCTTCCATTGCAAAGATGTCCATCTTGGAGATGGCCAAGATACTATTATATCTATTGAACTAATGCAGCTTTAGAATAAAACAACACAAAGAAAAAAACAGAAAATGGAGAGTGATATAATATTGTATATATTTTAACTTGAACATATACCTTATGAGCAAATCATTTTAATCAGTGCCAGAGATGGAAAAGCAACAGTTAAGAGAAAGCTGTCTATGGTCCTGACATGCTGACATGTTTAAGATTGTTGGCTAACAAGCTATTAGTGATGGAGCAAGTAGAATTTGTTATTATCACAAACAAATGGTAATTTTTTTTTTTTTGAGATGGAATCCACTCTGTCTCCAGGCTGGAGTGCAGTGGTGTGATCTCGGCTCACCACAACCTCTGCCTCCTGGGTTCAAGCGATCCTCCTGCCTCAGACTCTCAAGTAGCTGGAACTACAGGCACATGCCATCATACCCAGCTAATTTTTGTATTTTTAGTAGAGAAGGTGTTTCACCATGTTAGCCCGGATGGTCTCGATCTCTTGACCTCATGATCTGCCCTCCTCGGCCTCCCAAAGTGCTGGGATTACAAGAGTGAGCCACCATGCCTGATTGGTTAATGTTTTTAAACACTAGAAACTATAGAAAAGGTTTTAAAGTTGATATGCCAAAATATATAATATGGAGCATGAAATTGGACTATAATAAAGCCAAGGGCATTCCACACCCAGCATATAAGCATAAGTCCATGTGTTAATACTTGCCTTTGAGCAATAGAAACAACCAATGCCCAACAGGGCTTCTATACACAACAGATTGGGGTCTGTGAACCTATGGAAAATCAGAGGAAAAGATTGCAAAAATTTTCTCCCATTCTGTAGGTTGCCTATTCACTCTGATGTTTACTGTGGCACTATTCACAATAGCAAAGACTTGGAGCCAACCCAAATGTCCATCAATGATAGACTGGATTAAGAAAATGTGGCACATATACACATGGAATACTATGCAGCCATAAAAAATGATGAGTTCATGTCCTTTGAAGGGATATGGATGAAGCTGGAAGCCATCATTCTCAGCAAACTATCACAAGGACAAAAAAAAACAAACACCACATGTTCTCACTCATAGGTGGGAATTGAACAATGAGAACACATGGACACAGGAAGGGGAACATCACACACCGGGGTCTGTTGTGGGGTGGGGAGACGGGGGAGGGATAGCATTTGGAGATATACTTAATGTTAAATGATGAGTTACTGGGTGCAGCACACCAACATGGGACATGTATACATATGTAACTGACCTGCACGTTGTGCACATGTACCCTAAAACTTAAAGTATAATAATAAAAAAAAAAGAAAATCAGAGGAAAAGAAAGTTTTATAAGGGAAGGAGTAATTAAGCTGATGTAAAAGACAGAAGTATTCAATTTCACCACATCCTACCATCTGAGTGGACTTCCCTTAAGATTACACAAGATTTTATGAAGAATCAGTCAATATCATTAATATATTAAAAAGTTATTAAAAAAGGGAACAAAATAAGATATGCATCTATGTCTTTTAAAAACGCACATGAGGCCGGGCGTGGTGGCTCATGCCTGTAATCCCAGCACTTTGAGAGGCTGAGGTGGGCAGATCAAGAGGCCAGGAGATCGAGACCATCCTGGCCAACATGGTGAAATCCTGTCTCTACTAAAAATACAAAACTTAGCTGGGTGTGATGGTGTGCACCTGTGGTCCCAGCTACTTGGGAGGCTGAGGCAGGGGAATCACTTGAACCCAAGAGGCAGAGGTTGCAGTGAGCCGAGATCATGCCCTCCAGCCTGGTGACGGAGCGAGACTCCGTCTAAAAAAAAATAAAAATAAATAAAAATAAAGGAAAAATAAATATACATGAGCTATCATATTCATTCTCCAAAGCTGATACAAATCATGCCATATGCAATGACTTCTCTTCATATAAGGATAGCAGTGAGTTAAGCAGATACTCTTATTCAATAGAGATAGTGGCAGAAGAAAAACAAATAATAAATTTAATGGCAAATGTTACCAAGTGTTATGAATAAAAACAAAGCAAAATAATTTCCAAACTTGCTATGTAGGTACAGTAATCATGATAGCATGGTATTGCAGAAAGAACAGACGATAGGGTCATTAAATAGAATAGAGTCCAGAATTAGACCCACACAAATACTGTCAACTCTCATTTGACAAAGGGACAAAGGCAATTCAATGTAGAAAGAATAATCTTCTCAACAAATGGTGCTGAAAAAACTAGGCATCCATATGCAAAAAAATTGAAAATAAATATATGCAGAGAGCTTTCACTTTTCACTTGAAGTAACACAAAATGGATCCTAGATATAAATGTAAAATTACAAATTTTATTTTTTTCCAACTGTATAGGAGGCTTTTTCAGAGGACAAAAGGACTTTGTCTTCCCAGAAAACAAATCCTATCCTTTGCTTTATGATGCAGATAAAAATATTACAAAATTTCTCGAAGAAAATGCTGAAGAATATCTTAATGACCTTGGGTTTGGCAATGAGTTTTAGAAAAAACTCAAAATGCCAAAAGTATCTTGGGTCTGACGATGAATTTTAGATACAACACTAAAAGTATGATTCATTAAAAAAATGATAACATGGATTCTGTTAAAATTGAAAACTTATTTTTTTGTGTAAAACAGTGTTAAGAGAATGGAAAGATAAGGCAGACTGGAAGAAAATATTTGTAACACATATCTGATAAGGACTTTTATCTAAAATATAAAAAGAACATTGAAAACTCTACAATAAGAATACAAAAATATCATCAAAAGTTCTGCAAAGATATCTAACCAAAGAAGATATACATATGAGAAATAAGCATAAAAATGGCCAAAATTTTTTGCAGTTAGTGAATTGCAAATTAAAACAAGATGCTATGACATACCTATTATATCTGAATGGTGAAAATCCAAAAATTGAGAATTTCAAATGCTGTCATAGATATGGAGCAACAGTAACTCTTTCGCTGCTGATGAGAATGCAAAATGATACTGCCACTTTGGAAAACTATTTGGAAGATTCTACACACCCATACACTCAACAAAACAAAGATACTAAACTGATGGGGTTGTTTTAAAGGGACATAAGATGACACAATCACAGTGACCGAAGTTGGAACAACTTCAGCCACAGTTAAGCTTTCTAGTAAACCACATAACATGGGAATCACACTTACATATATACTTGATTGAAAAATAATGTCCACAGGAAAACTTACGTATTAATGTTTATAGAATCTTTATTCTTAATCTCCAAAAATTGGTGGAAAAAACCTAGATTTTTAATAGATGAATAGATAAACAGATTGTGATAGATTCCTATAATTGAACATTACTCAGTAATTAAATGAAATTAGCTACCAAGTCACCCAAAGACAAAAGGAAATTTAAATTCAAAAATGCTAAGGGAGAGCATCTTTTCTGAAAAGGCTACATATTGAATGATTTAAGTTATATGACATTCTGCAATAGGCAAAACTTTGCATATAGTAAAAGATGAGTGGTTTCCAGTGGTTTGAAAAGACAAGAAGGATGAACAGGTGAAGCAAAGGAGACATTTTGGGCAGTGACACCATTTTGTATAATACTGCAATGGTAGATACATGACATTATGCACTTACCAAAACCCACAGAACTTTATATAAAGGCTTATTATGAATGAACCTTAATGTATACAAATTAAAAGAAAAAAACATTTAGTAGGTAGGAGCTGGAAAGATGGCTTCAGGAAAGAATTCAGGCTGTAACAAGATAATCTAACTGTATTATAAATGTATGAAACAACCTCAGTGAAGAGAGTGGGAGGAAAACATGCTGGCGTAAGTAATTTTCCAAAGTTGAGTGCAGTTTCTAAGACTAAATGGAAAAAAATTGCACAGAGGCACTGGACTCTAGTTAATAAAGTTGTTTTCCGCAAGGGTATGTTTTGACAATTCTCTTGCTGCTATATTTGTATACTGGAACTGAACAATTAAGTAAGTAGTTGGCAGATGTTGGGATTCAGGTTTCTTATTTTTGGTGTGGGAATTTACAGATAACCAACAGGAGGTTACCATGATCCATGGGGTAATAATTAAGAGCTGAAGACACCAATGTAAAATCATTTATTTTAATATAGATATAGATGGCTACATTTTGAAATATTTATAGATATGTATATTTACACAAGTTAGTATATACACATATATATTCTTTACTCTGTCAGCTGAGATAGCCTAAAAGCAATGTCATCCAGTACTAATGAACTCATCTATAACCTAGCTCTTAGTGTCTAATACCATTTTCCATCAAAATGAATCAGGATCCTTCAAAAAATGGCTAAGATTAGAGAAGGAAATACATGATGAACTTGAAGCATCTCATAGTGTCAGAAATTAAAGCAGTGCTTAACATACACACACACACACACTCTCTCTCTCTCTCTCTCTCTCTCTCTCTCTCAACAAAACGCTGCTACATTGATGGAGGTTTTCTAAAGGGAAAGGTTGGAACAATTCACAGTGACCAAAGTTGGAAAAACTTGAGCAACAGAATAAATAAAGAAGAATTCCTACAGAGTGGGAGAAAATTTTTGCCAACTACTCATCTGACAAAGGGCTAATATTCAGAATCTACAAAGAACTCAGACAAACTTACAAGAAAAAAACAAACAACCCCATCAAAAAGTGGGGGAGGATATAAACAGATACTTCCCAAAAGAAGACATTTATGCAGCCAAAAGACACATGAAAAAATGCTCATAATCACTGGCCATCAGAGAAATGCAAATCAAAACCACAATGAGATGCCATCTCACACCAGTTAGAATGGCGATCATTAAATGTCAGGAAACAACAGGTGCTGGAGAGGATATGGAGAAATAGGAACACTTTTACACTGTTGGTGGGACTGTAAACTAGTTCAACCATTGTGGAAGACAGTGTGGTGATTCCTCAAGGATCTAGAATTAGAAATACTATTTGACCCAGCCATCCCATTACTGGGTATATACCCAAAGGAATATAAATCATGCTGCTATAAAGACACATGCACACGTATGTTTATTGTGGCACTATTCACAATAGCAAAGACTTGGAACCAACCCAAATGTCCATCAATGATAGACTGGATTAAGAAAATGTGGCACATATACACCATGGAATACTATGCAGCCATAAAAAATGATGAGTTCATGTCCTTTATAGGGACATGGATGAAGCTGGAAACCATCATTCTCAGCAAACTAACGCAAGGACAAAAAACCAAACACCGCATGTTCTCACTCATAGGTGAGAATTGAACAATGAGAACACTTGGACACAGGAAGGTGAACATCACATACCAGGGCCTGTCGTGGGGTTGGGGGAGGGGGAGGGATAGCATTAGGAGATACACCTAATGTAAATGATGAGTTACTGGGTGCAGCACACCAACATGGCACATGTACACATATATAACAAACCTGCACGTAGTGCACATGTACCCTAGAACTTAAAGTATAATAAAAAAAGATAAAAATAAAAAATAAATAAGTAAAATAAAAAGACAAAAAAAAGAAGCATTGTGTTATAACCCAATAGCTGAAATAAATTCAGGTTGAATATTCTTTAAATAAAATGCTTCAGAACAGAAATGTTTCGGTTTTGGATCTTTTCGGATTTTGAAATATTTACGTTATTCTTATGAGTTGAGCATTTCAAAGCTGAAAAACCCAAATTCAAAATGTGCCAATGGGAATTTCATTTGAGCATCAGGTTGGCACTCAAACAGTTTTGAATTGTGGAGCATTTCAGATTTCAGAGTTTTGAATTTTGGATGTTCTACCTGTATCTGTAAGTTTATACTGATATAAATAAACAACTGAACCAATAGATAATTGGGCAAGGAGATAATTTCTCTTAAAAATGAATTCTAAATAATGTATGTGAATACTCTGCCCTCAAGGAGGAAGAGTGTAAATCCTCACTTCCTAAGTGTAGGATGCACAGAGTAATTTCCTTCCAAAAAGGACAGTGTAGAAATTGCAAGAAACAAATAACTTTCCAGTGGAGAAATCTGACAAGCTACCTCAAGTCCAATATCACAATATTAAAACAAGGGTAGTAAGTACCCTCCTTACAATATGTTGAAAATGGCACATGATCTCCATGGTCCTTCACCCCAGACCCATGAGCTCAGTGAAAACAAAACAAAACAAAACAAACAAACAAAAAACGAGGAAATTCCAACAAAGTGGCATTCTACAAAATACCTGATGGGTACTTCTTAACACTGCCAAAGTCATCAAAAATAGTAAATTTTCTCAGAAATCTGAGAAAATATCTTTGGCAACAGAAGCATAAGAAGACATCACTGCTAAATGAAATGTGGTATCCTGGATGGAATCTTAGAAGAAAAAACATAGGAGGTATAAATTAAGGAAATCTGAATAAACTATAAAGTTTAAATATAAAATATATCAATATTTCTTCATTAATTGTAAAATATGTACTATACCAATGTAACATGTTAATAATAGGCAAAACTGGTTGAAAGGTATATTGAAATATTATGTACTAGCTTCTCAGTTTTTATGTAAATCTAAAATTGTTCTAAAAAATTACGAAGAAGAAGAAGAATAAAGCAAGTTGAGTGGAGGGAGGATAAATTGGGGAGGTAGTTACTTTTGATATTGTGGTCAAAGAATGCCTCTCTGAAAAAAAAAAAAAAAAAAAAGAGGGCCTCTCTCTTATGGTGACATTTGAGCAGAAAGCTGAAGGGAGATAGGGCATGAGACATGATGATATCAATGGGAACAGCATTCCAGAGAAGAGGCCCAGCAAAATGTATGTGTGAGAGAAGGTGGGTGGAGAAAGGATGTTTAGGACAGAAGCTTACAAGTCACAGAAGGAACAAAAGTGCCCCTACAGCTGAGCGAATAAGGAGAGCTTTACAGACAATAAAATTGAAGGGACAGCAGGATTTCAGAGTCTTGCAACCCATAAATTTAATCTTCATGATATCTAAATCACATAAGGATTTGTGGCAGAAGAGGATCACGACATAACTTAAATGTTAAATGATAGCTCTGGCTGCTACATAAAACATAGACATTACAAGATAAGAAAGGAGGAAGAGAAAATAATGAGGAGATTGAAATATCCTGGTCAACAAAAGGCAAGGAGAGACAACTGGAAATAAATTAATAGAAGTGGAGGAGTGAGGGATGAATTTAAGGCTTTGCCTTGAACAACAGATTAGTGCTGTCATTTACTAATGAGAGACACATGAGATGTTCAGGTTGTGTGTGGGAGTAGAAAGTCAAGGTTTTGATTTTGAATGTTAAGATCGATCAATATGCCCTATTTAACATCCAAGTGGAAATAATAACTCAAATATGCATTTAACATCCAAGTGGAAATATCAAACATGCATTTGGATAATGGAGTCTAGAATTTACAGCAGATTTTTAATACTGAGATTTATCAGTATATTACATAGTTATTAAAAATATGGAAGTGGTTGAAATTTTACATTAAATAAAAAACAATAATGCAATTTCAGTATCAATGGAGAGCAACAAAATGCAAATGTTAAAATTGAAGTTTGAGCTTATAAAATTTGATATTCAGCTAATATGCTGGGGAAAAAGGCACAGACATGGACAGCATTCAGTGCTATTAAGTGGGTAATAGGATGGACAATTCTTAGTATAAAAAGAGAAATTATAATAAATCTTTAAGTATTATTAATGGTGAGAGCAAAATACATTCAATTCTTTTTCAAATTAATTTAGAAAATACATCAAAGTTTTTAAAATTATGTACAGTATTTGATTAACTCAAATTCTAGAAAGTTTCTTAAGAAATTAGTCATATGCAACCTAGGCAATACCATCCTGGACATAGGAAGGGCAAAGATTTCATGACAAGGGCACCAAAAGAAACTGCAATGCAAGCAAAGAACATGAACTGACACTTCTCAAAAGAAGACATACATGCGGCCAACAGCATATGAAAAAAAGCTCAGTATCACTGATCATTAGAAAAATACAAATCAAAACCACAATAAGACCCCATCTCACAACAGTCAGAATGGCCATTATTAAAAAGTCAAAAAGTAACAGATGCTGACGAGGTCGTGGAGAAAAGCAAACACATGCACTGATGGTGGGGGTGTAAACTAGTTCAACTACTGTGGAAAGCAGGATAGCAATGCCTCAAAGAACTAAAAGCAGAATTACCATTCGACCCAGCAATCCCATTACTGGGTATATATCCAGAGGAATATAAATCATTCTACCACAAAGACACATGTATGTGTATGTTCATTGCAGCACTGTTCAGAAAAGCAAAGACATAGAACCAACTTAAATGTCCATCAATGACAGACTGGATAAAAAAAAATTGTGGTACATAGATACCATGGAATACTGTGCAGCCATAAGAAGGAATGCAGTCATATCTTTTGCTTGAACATGGATGGAGCTGGAGGCTATTATCCTACGCAAGCTGATGCAGGAATAGAAAACCAAATATCACATGTTGTCACTTATAAGTAGGAGCTAAATGATGAGAACTCAATGAAGACCAAGAAGGAAACGACAGACAATAGGAGCTACTTGGAGGTGGAGGCTGGAAGGAGGGAGTGGAGTAGAAAAGATAACTGTTGGGTACTGGGCTTAATACCTGGGTGACTACCTAATCTGTACAGCAAACCTCTGTGATACAAATGCACCTTTGTAACAAACCTTCACAAGTACCCTCGAACCTATAATAAAAGTTTTTTTAAAAATAAAAAATAAAATAAAATTAGTCATATGAAAGAGAGGTTTAGATAAACACATTTATCAAATCATCATTTATTATTAGATTTACCAGAAATTATGTTTACTGTATGATTCATTTTCAGGTCTTCTTCATTTTCCTCAGTGCTACAAAAGGTAAACTCAGAACTGTATACCTGGGCTCACTAGTTCATTAGTCCTGGGTTGGGTTTAGCCAGTGTGAAGCACAGGCAGGAGATCAAGGGTAGGAGGAGAGGAGTTCTATTCTCCTCTATGCAGCACCACTAAGAGTTGGCTGCTTTACAGTGAGCCACAGCTTCTTTCAGATGGTGCTCTGCTAAGATAACAGGATGCTCTCTCTGGAGTAATATCTGCTCCCAACCGGTGTTTCTTCAGGGCCAGGATGTGTAAGAGGCTCATTCTGTTGAGAATTCCTGCTTTAGTAGCATCCCTAGTCAGCTCCCTTAACTGTACCCACATCCTCTGTTAAGTCCTTCCCAATGATTGCATTTGAGTACATCATCTGGTTCCTGAAAATACCTTGACAGAATTAGGGAAAGGTGAATAGATCATGCTGCTCCCATGGAATAAAGTATCATATCATGAAGTCATCAAAAAATCTATGTATTGTTGTCACCCTTTCATCAAATAAATATGAAGTGTCTACTGATTTTCTAGGCATTTTTCTTGGTGGACAGAACAGCAGACTCCTTGAGGAGTTTTCACTCTAGAAACATAGTCTACATACATAACCAGAGAGTTTGTGACACATCCCTGGATAGAATACTGCCCCTAGAAGTCATTTATTGAATAATATTTAATCTACTGAGAAAATGAAAGAAAAACTTTGATTTATATAGCAAGTTTTTAATCAGCAGAGAAAGCTATAAATGAATTTTCAGCCTATGGTTTCATGTCAGCTTCCAGCTTCAGAAATGAACATCAGAGTTTGTCAGATGCAAGCTAATGAGTGTCTTACATGAGCCAGCCTACACAAAGTACTTTTCATTTGAGAAAAAGCACACAGTGTTAAAAATTGTCTATATTTAAAACTGTATTTGATTTGACAGAGCTTCTGTCTTAAGTTAGCTGGAGAAAGCAATAGTTCAGCCCAAACTGTTAGCCAGTTTATGTCTGTGGGTAGGGAGGGGAGGATGGCAATGGGTAGGTGGATGGGGAGGATGTGCATGGCAATATTGAGAAGAGAAATGGGAATTAAACAGCTATATAAGGGCAAATTATAAAATGTATGCAAATTTATAATAACTTATTATAAAAGTAGAGATACCCATGATACATAATATAGTAATCAATTATTCAAGAGTTTATTATGAATTTTTAAGAAAAATCTCAACTTTTCTCCTTCAATGAAACTTTTTGTCAGCCTGGTGACAGAATTATATTTTTAAAGCACAAATAAATATATAAAATATGGACTATTACATAGGAAACAAATTCTATTAAAATAGACCTATGAAATACTTTTTAAAACAGTTATGGTAAAATAATATTTGTGTATCTTAATTAATTCAATAAATAACAAAATCAAGCAGCAGGTCTAATCATTGCCAAAATTTCAAACAAGTAATACACATACAAGGTATTTAGTATAATATTTGTTTTCTACTGATGATAAATTCATGGATATTTCTCATACTGCTGTGAATTGATACCCATAGTCATAATTGAGGAGGACACTAAATTTCAATTAGATATTAGGATGAATATTAATTTTTTTTCAGGTTAAATTTATGGGCTCCATGTTAAACAGACTTAGAACAACTTTCAAAAAAAAAGACACTTACATTTGGATAACTGTGTAATTTTACATAGACGTTATACATGTGGAACAGAAAAACTGAATGAACAGTAAACCTGGAATGAGGAGATACGGATTAATATTCTGAGCTTGTCACTATTTTAATGAGTTTACTGGAATTTATTAACTAGGTTTTATTTTTATTATATCTAGCATGGGAATCATGAGCTGACCTTACAAGGAGATAAGTTGACTAAATAAAACTATGTGTATAAACCGGGCGGGGTGGCTCACGCCTGTAATCCCAGCATTTTGGGAGGCGGGTGGATCACTTGAGGCCTGAAGTTTGAGACCAGCCTGGCCAACATGATGAAACCCCATCTCCACTAAAAATACAAAAATCAGCTGAGTGTGGTGGCGGGTGCCTGTAATACCAGCTACTTGAGAGGCTAAGTCATGATAATCACTTGAACAGGTGAGGCACTGATTACAGTGAGCTGACATTGCACCACTGCACTCCAGCCTGGGCAACGGAGTGAGACCCTCTTTCAAAAAAAAAAAGTATATGTATAGCAAGAACCTAAGAAATAAGTACATCTATAATATAAAATTACAGTCTTTTTCTTTCAAAAATAAATTATTGATTAGGTCACAATATAATCATTTTCTATTACAGGGCAATAAAAACAATGTGCATTTACCCAGAAAACTATAAATGATATTTGAGAGGTTCCTTGTAAACTTACATTTGCCATTTTAAAGACATAAGCACATTCAGTTTATAGTAAGTGTTAATGTGATTGCATGGTAGATGCTGCAGTGCTCCCTGCAGATCTCATTTACCAAGCCAGTCCACAAATATTATGAACTGGACTATGACAGCTCATTGTTTGTAATACCACTATAATTATTTGTTCTACCTCTGCCAAGGCAAGGAAAAATAACTTTGCAATTGAAGTTCAATCTTATAACATCTCCACCCAGAATTGACACTCATGGATTCCAGTAAATTTTCATGAACCAAATAAGGTTACTTTGTCTAACTTCAAAGGCATTAGTGAAGAACCATCTTACCACTCACTTAGAAGATAGAAATATTTGGTAAATAACATGATGATCATGGTGACTCACCCCAAGGTTACCAAATATGAGAATGATTCTTTCTCCCGCAGAAAAATACTCAAGAAAGGCAGCTCACAAGCCATATCCAGGATTGTTATCAAGTTCAAATTGAAGGATTTGATAATTTATACATTGATCCAGTTTGTGTTTGGGTTGGAGGATCGGGGATAGTGAGAGAATGAGGAGGAAAAATAACAAGTTGTAGTTTCTACATCAAGTTTAGAGGAAGCATCACAAGACAAAGAAACCTATGCATTAAAAGATATTGTATCTGCTCTCCCACATGCGATAAACAGTGGTGACACAGAGGTAGTGTAAACACAATAAATGATTTACCTCTAAAAGGAGAAGAAAGAGAAACACATGGCAGCCAATGGAATTTTGTCCTGTTGCCAGCCCCCCTAATCTGGGAGTTGAGAATTAGGCAGAAAAAGTATTCAATTTTTCTGCTAAGAGGGGCTCCCCTATCTACTATTCTGTGGGTCCATTCACCTTCTGGAATACTTTCATTTTCATTAACCTCATTGGCCAGCACCAAAGAAGGCAATGGATACTATATATACACTCCTTGAGAGTCATACAGGTTTCTTAGCCAGCTCATTGGCTATGGAAATTGATGGCCCTGAGGTTATTTCAGCCTCAACAAGACTCAGACTTCCTTTGTCTGGCCTGGTGGTTTCTCTGGCAGGATAACTCTCTTAAAAACGAAATGCCTTATCTATTTGACTCCAGTCAGTTTCATGTGTCAAGAGATATGCCACAGAAATAGCATCTTTTTAAGCATACTTCTTAGAATTTCTATAGTTGTTTTCTTACTCTGGCTCCATAGACTTTGCTGTGTCTATTAAATTATGGGTCCCTTGGCCTTATTGAGCTTTGTTAGGTGAGACACAGCTTTAACGTGAGGCATTTTGTCCAATTAAAAGGATTTACTGGGAACTGAACCCTTGGCGGAGTCCTTAATCTTCCTTATATAATCATTCAGAAGTTTAAAAATAGATGAACAGCCATTCACTTGATATGAGATCTATCCTGTTAACAAATTGTTAAATGCACAGTATATTATTGTTAACTATAAGGACAATATTATACTGCAGCTCTCTAGAATTTTGTTTTTCATTTGAAATAACTGAAACATTACACTCTTTGAACAGCACTTATATCAATGTTTCCCTCCCCTCAGTCACTGGTAACCCCCATTCTACTTTGTGCTGTTATTAGTTTACTTTAGATCCTCACGTAAGTGGAATGATGATGTATTTGTCTTTGTAACAAATGATATTAGCCAGTTACACACAAAGGTGTATCCTTATTTCTATCTTTCATCAAGGAGTGTCAGAGATATTTGTATCTTTCCTGTACCCCAGCAATCCCTCATGTGTGCCTCATCTCCATTACTTTACATCTTGCCAATAATTTGTCAAAAGACTTTCTAAACTTATCCCTTTCTTACAGTACTTTGAAAATACAGCCATAGTGACAAGCACACCCTAGGAATATTCTGTTTTCCCACATTTTGCCCGAAAATCCTACATTGAGTGCAGGATCTGCCTTCCAAGTTATCACAAGTGACAGTTTTACCAAATGTTACACCTTCGAGAAAAATTCATCTTCATCTTTTTAGACTCTAATGAGGCTTTCTTCACTGCTGGATGGCCAGGCCTTAAGCCAATGCTGCAAATTTCATACATACTTTTAAGACAGCATTTCATTTCTGGTAGATATATGTGCACCAGTTGCAGTGGCATGAGTTATTTTGTGGAAACAGACAAATCTCAAAACCACAATGTCTTTAAAAGCAAATGTTTATTCTTGTTTATGCTATATGACCACTGTGGTTTTCCAGGGAGGCTGATAACACTTTATCAACAGGAATCTAAGGAATGGAAAGTTCCATCACCATGTTCCCATAATTGTCAAGAAAAGAGAGGGAACCTGGAAAATCTTATGGCCCTTAAGCTTTCCACAGGTGAGACACATTCACTTGCATTCACATTTCAATGGGCATAAAGAATTCCACGATTATTTCTAAAGTTAGAGGTGGGGGAGAAGTGCAATCAAGACTATTATCTCTCTAAGTGAGGGAAAGCCAGAAATATTTGGTCAACAGTTCTGATGATTATTTTGCTGGAATATGAACATGTTATTTATAGGTTGAACTGTGTCTCACCAAAAGATATATTTAAGTCCCAACCCCTGGAACCTAGGAATCTGACCTTACGTGGAAACAGAACAGTTGACGATGTAATCAGGTTAAGACGAAGTCTTTCTGAATTAGAATGGACCATAACTCAATATTACTGGGGTTCTTAAAAGAAGAGCAGAAGAGACACAGACAGCAGGCACAGAGGGAAGATGACCATGTGAAGAAGGAGACAGAGATTGCACAAGAAACCACAACACCGGAAGCTAGAAAAGACAAAGAAAGATGCTACAATCTTTGGAGGGACTATGGCCCTATCAACACCTTGCTTTCAGATTTAGGCCTCCAGAACTGAGAGAGAACACATTTCTGCTGTTTTAAGCCACCTAGTTTGTCATGCATTGCTATGGCAGCCTTAGGAAACTTATAGTGTTAAAGTTAATTTTTATTATTCATGTATAATATTTCCTTAACTATCACAGATAAAGGTAAGAGATTTTTCAGCTATGCTTTAGCAGCATTGAGTCCATATTACAAAGAACAGAGAGTTAATATGAATAGTTTTTAAGTTCTACTTGTAAATATTTGCAAATGTTCTAGAAAGCTGTGCTACTTAGTAGTTGTGTAACTTTTGGCAAGGCACCAATCTCTCTCTCTGCCTCTGTTTCTTATTTTTTTCCCTAATTTGTAAAATAAGATTTGTTATAATAATAATAAAACTCATGACATTGGTGCAAATTCTCTTAGAAAGTCTAGAAAAAATGCTCTATTAAATGACATATCACTCTCTCTTTTCTACACTATGATTCCAAAACAGAATAGGGACTTTTCAAATCTATATACAATCTTGCCTCAATATCCACAGGGACTAGGATCCACTATACCCTTAGATAACCAAACTTGCAGATGTTCAGTTTCCTTACATAAAATGGTACATTTTCAGCATACAACCTATGCACTTCTCCCACATACTTAAAATTATCTCTAGATTACTTAAAATATGTAATTCTACTTAAATGCTGTATAAAAAGCTGTTGTACTCCGTTGTTTTTATTTGTGTTATTATTGTTACTGTATTATTATTATTTTTTAATATTTTCAATCTACCATTGGCTGAATCTGTAGATGGCAATTATGAATATTTCATTAGGATTTTATCTAAATAATCTATTATTATACTTGAAACAAATTTTAAAAATCTCTTTTCTTCAGTCTATATGTATGAAAACACCAGCAGAATTCCGTTAATATTCTGGGGCTGTACTGTAAAATAAATGTTATCAGCTCAATAATAAAAATTTCTTGGCACCAATGCCAATTTAAATGTTACTATAGCAATCACCATGGTAATGCTTTCAATTAGTCTCCAGCATAACATGAGTCTAATGTACCATTTGGCAACATCATAATGGATCTACAGATTATTTGTACAAGCCAAATAAAATCTACAAGACCCAAAAAATCAAACAAGAAACAATTAAGAAAGTATCCCTTGGTTTCAAAGTGTAAAAATGTACTCTAACTTAACTTCAAAAATATTTTCGTGTAAAAACACATTAGCATGTTTTCCTTTGCCAATCACTTATTAGAACTCAGTAAAATTACAAGGAATATTTCCTTAATATCTTGATGCCAAACACTGATATTAAAATTCTAGTGTTTATTTCAGCTGGAAAGCCCATCTGAAAATGAGCAAACTCGCATGTTGTTTGAACCATTATTATTAAAATCTGTGGGAGGGTGAGTGAAACAAGGAGATGATAATAATAGTCATTTATTAGTGTTATAACTAGCATTTATTAAGCACGGGCCAGGCCTTGTCCTAAGTGCCTCACAGTTTGCAGTGGCCATTTATTTGTTAAAATAATCAATTTGGAGGTCATTAGATTAAGGCAGCTCCAGGGCCCTGGGTCTCTACATGAGTAAACCTAAACCCAACTCAATGTAAATGGTCATATCCTAGGAATACAAAACTTGAGCATACCCAGTCAAAAACTGGCACCTAAAGTTTAACTAGGAACTTTAAGGCACTTTTTTAGTTTAATTAGTCAAATATTTTCTTTTCCTGACTTCTGCAAACATTTGTAAAAGTTTTCTCCTTGCACCCAGTCAGTGAAATCCAACTGCTTGAGGTCTGGTGCTGCCTGATCCATGAATTGCTGTCTGCTAAAATAAACTCTTTAGAATTTTAATATGCCTACATTTATCTTTTAACATACTCTATTCACAAACAACCCTAGGTCTCCCTCTTTCCGAACATAGGATGAGGCTTCACCAGCATCTCGCTATTATATGTGGCTATTTGGCCATTGAAGTTTGAGTGAATGTGATACGTTATTTCTGGAAAAAGGGTTTATGAGCTTCTCCATGATCGTGCCATGGGCTTTTTCCTTTGCCATGCCAAGTAGCAACACTTCCAGGCCAGATTCCAAAATGAAGACAAGAATCCACCTCTACAGCCCTACCAACCGACCTGTGATGAATATATATTGCAAGAAAAAAATACTGTTTACATTTGTTTTAAGCTCACTGAGATTTCAAGGCTCTGTCTTACCATTTTAACTGTAGTTTTTAATTTATTACTTACACCTATTTTAAATTATGTAACAGTGTCTAAATTCACTCGAGGAAGGTCCTGTTATTCCCATTCTATATCCCATACAAAATGAAAATTCAGATCAATTAAATATATTTCCTGAGATAACACATCTATAAGGTGATAAAGAAGAAAGCAGAAATAAGCTTTGAGAACTGATATCTGGCACATGCCCTGGCAACTAGGAACTAGGGTTGGTTTTCTTTGCTGAACACTAACAACTTAACAGAATATCATCATCAGCTGAGCTCATTCAACAGCTGTGATTGAACAGACAAAAGCAAGGCCACTGTACATCTCAAATATGACCAGATATCTTCCTTTCCTGGTTACTGCTTCATTATCAATCACATCAAACTGTGTTTTTCCAGCCTCCTAAATAGAAATTAATATACAAGTACAGAATTACCCCCACTTCCTGACAGTACCCAATCAAGGATAGATCAAGCTTTTTGAAGCACTCCTTAGGTGCCCCCAGCATTTCTGAAGCTCTAATATTTCTATATTAACCCCTTCCGACCAAGTATCTGAAGAGTTCCCATGATGGCAGTAAGCCTTGCTGCAGGAAGTTAATGCACCGAACTGTGGTTGACTATAGCTGTGTTCCTAGGGATCCTGTGAAAGCTGGACTTTGACAGTGGTAGTTGAGACTTCTACTCAGGAAGTTTGTCTTTAGCACCCACAATGTAACCACTATGTTGTAATCCAAATAAAGCAGTATAAGTTTGGAAAACTAATAAGATAATTATCGCAGGTGTTTCCTTTCTAAAAACTATCTATGATAGACAGTTTTTATTTAACATATATATACACACCAAATATGTACATCATACTTATATACCAGATAAACATATAGACATATATAAATATAGATATAGATTTATAAGGAAACATTAAGAAATACATTTTGCAGAGGGTTGAACTATGTATACTACCAGTTCATGGATTATAATTATCACTGGTTCATACAAGAACCTTCTCTTGTTTCACTGTTTTATTTTTATCCTGATCTGCCCACTCTGAACCCCTCAATTCATCTAAGAGTTTTTCAATAAATAAGAATCTGTGAATCCAAAGTGTTTTAAATAAAAATTAATTATCCTTATCACATCCACAGAGTTTAATGTAGAAATACGATCTGGTTTTGTAGGATAAATAACGGACCAAAAGTTAAAGTGACTCAAGGTGCTCAGTCTGTGCTTTAGAAGACTGCGATGCAAGGATCACATAACCGTAAAAAACTTTCAACAATTTGAATGTTATCTTTCACTTTACACATATTTCACGTAAGTAGATTCCATTTCTAAAACACTGTAAAGTTAAAAATGGTTAAATTTTAATTAGAATTACTGCACAATTGAAGAAATTAATAGAGGCCTGACTGCAATATTCCTGTTACAAAATCACGGAATTCTACCCAAGGAGGTAGAATTATAATATAAATAATACCCAAGGAGGGTATTATTTTATCTCTAAATGATCGTGTTCTCACTATTGATATTTATTAAGACTTTTTTTCTATAAGAGGAAATCTAAAATGTAAAAATGCATCAATGCTAATTTCTTAAAATCAGGCTTTATTGAAATTACTTTTATTTCTTGTGCATACTTCTCTGAAGAAACCTCATTTAACTCTGCCACAAAATACGGGCAGTTTACTTTTTAATTTTTTTCCTATGTATTTAGCAAAGCAACATTTGTTTGTTGTTTAAGCAGCATCATTAGTCATTAGATATATGATATACCAAAATATATTTATCAAAGCCAATAAAAAGTATCCTCAAATGTTTTCCTCTTAGGAAGTTGCCTGTTACTAAATATAAATATAAATTATAAAATATATGATATGCTTTCTTAAATATTAATAATGATTCCCAGAATTATTTGAAGCATGTTTCTGCTGCATAATATTATAACCATGCACTCTGCCAAACACTTCACACAAAAGCTTTTGCAAATGAGAGTCACCACTTTTCAGAGCTGTCTTTTATAATAGAATTCTGCTTATTAAGTATATGAGGGTCACCTGTGTCAACAGCACTAGTCAGAACATTTACCATGTCATTATCTCCTGATAATGACAATGAAAAATTATTTTTAGTTGATGATTTTGTCATCCTAATCTAATGAGACATCATCAGTCATCATCAGAACTGACTTAGGTAAATAGAAAGAGGATTGTACAGACAAAGACAAATTCAAACATGTACTGACATCTTACATAATTTTTATTAGTGAGATAATCTATCCTTTAACATTCCCACATAATTTAATATGAATAATCACTACTTTTGAACAGCTGTTTTCTCCTTAACTGTAACCATCCTCAGAGATGAATAGTATAATATCTCAATAAATCTCCAACTTGACAATACCAGCATGTGAGTATCTACTATTAATCAACTTTATCTTGGATTTTCGAGAACACTGATATAATGTCAAGTATAAGTTTTAGCCATACATTTAAAAGTCATTTTTATCATTCAGTGATAGACTAAATAGACTGTACTGGGTTGAGGAGAGATCATTGTTTGATGAAAAAGTACATTGCTCATCAGAAAATGCCACCATGTGAGCACAATTACAGGATTTATAAAAAAGTTTAATTATTGTACATATTAGAGTATGCCATAAATTCAGAAAGAGAACCCACTTTTCCAATATGCTTAAAATGCATGTGCTATACATTTCATAAGAATGTATTTTTAAGGTTTATGTATTTGTGAGCTTTGAGTTTTCCAAATATTGCATTTCAGAATCTGAGAATTTAGTTCTGTCGATTTTGAGAGGAATTTTAGTATAATTGGCAGCATAATTTTCTCCAAAAGTTGTAGCTTTAAATCTAAAAGTAATTTAAAACCGATATGCAAATTATCCATAAAATAAATTTCTGTTATTTTTAGCCATTAAAAATGCATTTAAGAGTCAAAACTTGGGTTATAAGCTTTTTATTTGTGAGATTTTGGTGAGATTGAGAGAAAAAATAAAGAAGCACAGAGAAAGTTTAAAAGAGCACGTTGTTTCTTGATCCACTGAAATAAAGGGAGCATTTTTATTCATTCAATATTAAATCCTTATAGTTTTCTAAAGTGTTGTGTCCATATCACTTGGAGCTCTGAAATCCGGAGTGTTAACAAGTGTTGTCATTTTTAAATTATTTCTTTGTTTGCTTTTCTCCAATATCACAAGCTTCAAGTTTAATAATTGGAGAAACTCTTCAGCCCAAAACTGTTCTTTCTATTCTTCTTTCTATTCTTTCTATGTGTTCCTTCTATTCTTCTTCATTGTTTGTTTTGTTGTTGTTGCTGTTTGTCATATATATGTCAAAGTACTTTTCAAAAAATATTATTTCATTCTTGTATTACCTTAATCATAAGAGACACACATACTCTTCAGGTACATTGAGAATGAAGGAACAAAATAGTAGAGGAAGAGATTTGAGGTGACAGAAAGACTCATTCTTATTTTTGGTATTGTCCTTTATTTTCCTAACATCAAAAATATTATTGTTTTTCCTTAATTATTTTAATGAGTGATCCTCAACTGAAGAAATGCTTTCCACTCAAGGGAATTTTTAAAAAAATGTTCAAAGGGATTGCTTTTCTGTTTCACAATGCTTGAGTCCACTGAAATTTTTTTTGGGGGGGCAAGCTAAACGCTCTGCAAAGGTCAAAGCAGTCCCAAATGTCAAAACATTTTCTCCTGCCCCACATTTAAGTAGGTGAAAAGCCTGTTCACAGCATATCTCTGCCTAAGACCTAACTTAGTTCTTTAGTGTTTGTGTTTGTTTGTTTGTTTTAGTTTTAGTTTTTATTTATTCAACATTTTAACTCTCGGTTATATTTATTTCGTCATCAAGTTTCACATAAAGTATGCTAAATTTTCCAACTACCTCATAAATCAACGGAAGACCCAAAGTATATTTTGTTTAGAAAGTTGCCATTAAAAAGCATTTAGAAAGCCACATTGCTGAAGGCAAAGACACTTGGGAGGTAGAAGCTGGCAGGAATCCAGCATTCTTTGATCTATCTCCATTTCTATCTGTCTAATTCACATATAGGTTATTTAATGTATATTATATTGTAGTAGTGATGTAGTACGTATTTTAGTATACATTGTTTTTTTATTTTCTCATTTATATTATGCTTTGAAAATTATGTTGACAATTTTTGAGAAATGCTTTATATGTGACGGTAATATTAACTTTGATTTTTTTCTATTCAGCATAGTAAAAACAAGTGTTGGTTCTAATAAGGCTGAAAGACACAAATCATATTTTTTATTTACTTTTACAAAAAAAAGGTTAAGATCTATTTTCTTTCTCAGAAGATTATTTGGATTGACTTCTATATTACAGATGGGTTATTTCATAAACTTTGGTAACCCCAAAATTGAAAAGCCATTTAAACTGATTTAAGCTCCTATTTACATATGGGAAGAGAATTTTAAAAAATTATTTTCACATATTGTATATAGAATTTTCCTCACGTATGTATCATCTTGATTTAAATACATACACACATACATGTAAAATTAAATATATATGTAAAATTAAATATATATAAAATTCAGAGATAAAAATATCAAATATTTCTAACCCATATGTAATTGTAATTGAAGACAAAATATTATTAACAAAAAGTACAGCATTCATTTCTAAGATTCCACTATTAGTAAGTTCAACTTCTCTTTATGGAAATCTTTCTGTTCCCAGGGAGCCCTCTAAATCATGTAATCATGTAGACATATTCTAAGTGATGGTCCTACGCTTTTTAATGGAGACATCCAAATGCTCATGTGTCATACTGAGATATTAAGCATTCCCTTTAATAATGTATTTTTTTAATGTTGGTACCTCTGGGATAATATTATCAGAGTAAATTATATTATTTTTGAAAATCTAGTCTTACAATCTGAGAAGGTTTGAGTATTTTGGAGTCCCAAATTAAAATTCGTGTCAGGGTAGTACCTCTTGGTTAGGAAGATGTAAACCAGCTGCACAGCAGCAAGCAGAGAGCAGAGGACTCCTAGATGTCCAGCAGTCCAGTCTGGACTGGGGCACTACCAGGACAACAGAATTTTGAGTTAGCAGTGATTTATTGGGTTTTAGTTTTTCTTTCCTCAGGCTTTGTGTTCCCTACATCATCTTTATTCCTTTGTCCCAAAGTAAAATACGTTTTTATTATTATTACTATATTATTATGTCCTATTATTAATAGTGCTGGGATAAACAAGAGGAACCTAATTTAGGCTAAGCACTGAAATCCACCCAGAAATTGTGGGAGGAATCCCAAAAAAAGTAGTAACAGGTGAAATTCAGAATTGAAATAATTGGTGAAGTAGACTCAATTTCATGGAAGGTTGAACTAGAATGAAGTATTTGGGTATGACGAGAAAGGAAAGCTATGGAAGAATGGAAAACCTAGATGTACATCTCCTATTACAGATGAGACTATAGCAATGGAGATGCAGATATTAATAAAGTTGATGTCATAGGTTAGCCAGACTATCTCCAAATAATGACATTTTTGGATGTTTTTTAAAATTTGATCTTTTGTTTTTTTCTAAAATGCTAATCCCATCTTAGTAATTTGTATGTAATATTTGAAAAATAACATTATTTAACACATTTTATAACCTAGAATTAATCCCAGTCTACTTTGTAATTGTTTCACTCTAGTCTATCATTAGAAAATATTAGCAAATTATCTAGAGTTATTTTTTATGATCTTGGTGTCACTTTGTGAGCAGGTTGAGGTAATGTAATTGTTATATGTAGCATTTACATATGCTGAAATCAAGCTCATGGTAAAGCTTTTGCATATTTCTTAACACACAGAGAAGAAAAATTAGTACAAAGATAGTATTCAGCTCCCATTTAGCTGAGAAAATATTGGTCATTCAATTATGAAATACGTAAATAAGTAAATCAACACAAATGAAAGAGAGTTTTAAATTTACTCGTCGGAAACAATAATCTTATATATCCTTTGAAATAAAATAAGTTTTAAATATAACAGAAAATTTAAGACAGAGTCATTTCTCTACATGCAAAATTCTTAATATTCGTCTACCACATAGGGAATTTGAAGTTTTTCATATTATTGAGTTCTCCAAACAATGATTGCAATTTGAAGTATCTGTGAAATTAAATACATTACAAGAAGTGTCAGCCTGTTGGAAGGTTGGGTTTAGAAAGTGGACACCACTGGAACAGGTGATATTAACTTATATTCTTTGTTCTGACTGCACTGTGATAATATATTCATTATAATTTATTTTATATAACTTGTGATGGCATTAATATTTCATAATATAGGCTTATAGTATTTAAATATGAAAACTTAATTATCTGAATTGCCTACTATGTTATTTTGAGTACAAATAATGCCATGTCAATTAATATTTAATTTAAAAAAACAATTATTTAAAATGGTTGTTTGTTTCCAAAGTAAGGGTTAAGCAAATACACTTAAACAGCTTAAAAATAAAAATGAAAATATACCTCTGCATTTATACTTTTAGATGTGTAAAATAATTACTTAACTTCTTTTTTTCTGGAAACCAACAATTCCATGAATTTTATATTTACACAATTGGCATTTACTGCTATTAAATATTAAAATACTATACTTAATTACTGCAGAATAATAAACTAAAAAAATTAACCAAATGTGATGATAATTTGCTTTTCAGTAGCTTGAATTATTTTAGTGTTAGTACTGAATTATTTTAAGTGATGTTATTATAAGGTAAGATATATGTCTATCTTAAGTGTTTATTTTGTGCATATTATTGTTAATTATATATTTTTTAAGAAAGTTGCACAGACTTTTGTTTTATACATCTTGATCCGATGTATTATTTTCTATGCCATTATGAAAATAACTGAGAAAAAATTTTAAGAACATTTAAGAATTCACACACGCACACACACACACACACACTATATATATATATATATGCCTAGTGTTCAATACATTTTAAGGTTATTCTTGGTTATTAAATGCTTTAAGTGTAGCTAGTACATAGTTCATGGGATAATTGAGCTCAGATATTTTATCTGGATAAATAGTATTTTAAAACCCTCATACAATTGACGGTTAATTCTTTTAGAATAATGTGTATTTAAACACTGTTATCAAAATATATCCTTAATTTTGGGAAGTGTTCAATGGCTGATAAATCAACTAGTAAAACTACTTCTAAGTGTAGATTTGGCTTACTTTCTTTTGAAAACTGATGAAAATGATTATTTTATAGAGTTTAATCATGGAATAAATATTGACTCAAATATTATAAAATGCCAGTAGAAATGAAGGCATATTAGGGGAGTCTCTCCTATTTTCATATTATAATCTGGGCCATCCAAAAGAGGGAGCTAAAGCATTGTGTTAAGCAGTTTGGTTTTATGAATGTGAGGTTTGGAGCAGTTTTACACATGAATTGCACACTGTGTCTATATGTACATTTAACTGAGTTTGACGTTGACTTATTAATGACATATTAATAGTCAGCACTTATGATCTACAATTGTATATTCCCCCAGAAGAAAATGTTTTTCAACAATCAGAAAATAATAAAAATATATTACAAAAGTTGGAAGAAATATTAATTAAAATCTCTTCCTAAATTTTGAGTCTTATAAAGGAGAAAAATCATATAAGCCTCATATAACTTCCATCACATGATTTATTTCCCTACACTTATACAAGTAAGACTAATAACATTGAAGTTTTGTCCATACTCATGAATACTCTTTTAAAATAGTATAAAATATGATGCAGTTATAAAGTTCCAAACAGGAGTGTATAAGATTTTATATAACGTCAACAATATCATTGGCAAAGAGATCCTGTATGCTAATTATGTGTGGTTTATCCAACACAGCTGCTCTTCATGTTCCCCATAGACTGGGGCAAGATATCATTATAAATAAAGGTTCATTGCTAGAGTAAAAGAGAATCTGTAGAACTTTATTGTAAAACTGCATTTTACAACAGGATTAATTTAATTAGTGAATAGATTAATTTCCTTCTTCATAACATCAGGAAGAAATCTCTAACTCCAGAAGGAAATCACAAGAAGAGGAGATAATTTACCTATAAATAATTAATTTTCATGTAAATAGACTGTGAAAACAAAATGTTTAATTCACTATCGGATACTCTCGTGTTGTTATGTTTCCTCCAGACATTACATTGAAACAGAGGGTGTTGCTCTTTTGTGAATTGGGGGTGCTTATCTTACACCTTCATGCTTTTCTTATTACTCCCATAACACTATAGATAAAACACGGTTAAGAATAGTAATTTCTGATGCGTCTAGTATCTGAAGTTCCTTACAGAGAATTTTTTTAATACATAAACCAATGAAATATCAAGCACAGAATTTTGGAAACATGCCAATATATAATCTCTCAATGAAATAACTGATTGTACATGTTTTTTTTAATCTAGTTTTTCACAAATTGAGTTTTTTTAAAGGATCATTGGACCTTAGAATTATTTATTCTTTGAATGATTCCAACATTTACCTTTAAAATTGTCAGACTGACATGTATACGTTGTCTTCTTCAAAGGATTGAACAGTTGTATTGACAAATTTCTCCATACCACACAATTCCTTGATATAATAATTTGTAAATGCAAATAGTATCAAACATAGCACAATGTTATAGTTGCATAAACATATATAACGAGTTCAGTCAAATGAGTTGATTACTAATTGAATTAGTCATACCACACAATTTAAAATAGATAACTGATGGCTGAAACATATGTTTCTTTTAGGTGGCTGATAACTGAATTTGTTACGGGGTAATGCCAGATGTGACTGTCTTGACTGCACAGTTTAAGCAGAGTGTTCTGCAGACAGGGTAAACGAATACATTTCTGAATATGTCGGACAATAATGAAATTCTAAACCACATTCTTTTTATACACAGAAAGACTGATATCCATGTGGGAAAATTTAGGCAATATGGAAGTCAATGGAACAGACTCAGTTCTGGTGCTAAACCGGTCACCAACACAGAGGACTCCACATCTTAGAAAAGGTCTTCAGGGAGTCCAGTTCTGAGGCCATGATATTTAGACTTTTGGATACTTCCAAGTAGTTCAGTTATTTGTATTGTTCTTTTTTTTTTATTTTCCTTATAGGATGGAAGCTTATTACAAAAGTGGTTGAAAGTTTAATACGACTATTTTCAAGCAAAGTTGTAAATGACTTTGAAACTGAAAGAGCCCTTAGATGTCTTCTAGCCTCTTTCCATCATTTTAAAAATGAAGACGTTAAGCCCCAGTGTGGAAAATGAATACAAGATCCCTCTCTTTCTGATCTTTTGACTCCCATCCATTGCTCTCTTTACAATACTAATGGTGTAATGTATATGGTGGAGTGTAATTCCACCACATACAATTTGGGAAATGTTTAGTTAACTCTTTAGTACTGGAAGACAGAATAGACACTTTGCATAAATCAATTCTTTCTTCTTCACTCGGGAGGCTCGGTTGATTCATCATATTTTTGTTTTAGGAAGATTTTCATAGAAAGCCAGGCCCAACCACAGTAGTGAATTCAATGGTACTCATTTTTCTCTGTTTGTTACTTATGCTTAATACAATGCCATATTTTACATGTAAAGGATTATGAAACAAAAATAATTTTGTAAAAATATATAGATTCTCATTGATAATGAATTCTTATTTATATAACTACTCTAGTAGGCCTGGATTCTACTCTTTTTTGTTTATTTGTTTGTTTGCTGCAGGGTCACTTTTTAAACAATTTCTCAGGGTGTTGGTATTCTTACCTGTAAAATCAGTCAATTAATTATACTGTAAATTTGCTTTCTTCTTGCTGTAATAATCCGTAACTATATTGAATCATTCTTTTCTTAAAGTTCTTATATCCAACAGAGATAAAATCTTGTAGGATTAACATTTTTATTTAAAAATAGCATGTAAGGGCCAGGCATGGTGGCTCAAGCCTGTAATCACAGCACTTTGGGAGGCTGAGGCCAGCGGATCACCTGAGGTCAGGAGTTCAAGACCAGTCTGGCCAACATGGTGAAACCCCATCTCTACTAAAAATACAACACTTAGCTGGGCATGGTGGTGGGCACCTGCAATTGCATCTACTCGGGAGGCTGAGGTAGGAGGTTTGCTTGAACCCGGGAGGCTGAGGTTGCAGTGAGCCCAGATTATGCCACTACATTCCAGCCTGGGTGACAAAGCTAGACTCTGTCTCAAAAATAAATAAATAAATAAATAAATAATAAAAATAAACATAGAATTTAATTTCATTAGAAACCATTTTAACTTGACCCTATTTTTATTAATGATGAAAACTGGACAAATATTTTCTAAGAACCATGTTTTTCACACATTTTCAAATATATTTTTCATACTCTCATAAATAGAGATTTTTATTCTCTGTGCCCTTGGAAAGTATGACTGCTTACATAATTTTTAACTATTTTTCAATTTTTTCAATATGTTCTTATTGTTACTCCCACTCTGCATTCATGATTAATTATATGGTATTTTTAAAAGCCAGTGTAAATTTCTTTTGAAAAAATGTAGTGTCACATCAAGTAAAATCCCAGTCAGGACAAAACATCTTTTCAATCATTTATTTGGAGGTATAATTATGTTTTGTTTTCCACCTTCCTAAGAGTCTAGGCAAGAAAAACTAAAATATGTAAGGAAAAGTGTTACTACTCTTCTCAAACACAGTAGTGAAATTATCTTGAGCCACTATTAGAAACTGACAGTTTGAGTATATATTTGAGTGAATGTAATAATAATAAACAAGAATAACAATAAACTCTTTGATACTTGCATTACCACAGTCATTAACAACAATTCCAAGAATTCTAATTATCTACATTTTTGCATGAGAAAACTGATATTTGGAGAAATGAAATAAATTAATTGATACGACATTGAAACTTATGTTCTGACTAAGAGCCTGAATTCTTAACCATTACGTTTAATATTTAGGTATACTAGAGTTGATTTCTACTCTGTAGCTGAAAACATAGGGCTAGTAGTTTGAGCTGGGAATGGAGGTGCAGGAAAGTAGGAGACATAGAGTTAGCACGGATCAAAAGTCATAAATACCATATCACTTACAATGCAGCATATGATTTAGTATGATAGTTAAGCAATGCAGAAAAAAATAATAATTTAGCAAAACAGGATTCACCCAAAATACAGTGTTGCATTTCCTTATAGAAAATATCTATTAATTTTTTTGTGATATAATCTTAAAAATCCAAATTGGGTATTATTTATTTCTTACAACATTTCAGCCAAAATGTGTAATCTATTGTGTAGATTGAGAAGCATATTATCTGTGTGTTATTTGGGGAAAGAATATTGGCATTACAACTGTTTAATTCACACAAGCGGTATAGACCTATCAATGTATTTTGAGTAACACGCTGACAGATATTTTTAAGGAAAGTTTTCCAAGCATTCTGCTAAAAGCTTAAAGTTCAATGTTTAGTAAATACATTGCATATCAGGAGATTCAAGAAAAGATGACTGGGCTCATCACCTAATACAGATATGGTACGGAAAATAACTGGAGACCAATCAGAAGACTGACCAGAGTCCTGATACAAAGAAACACAGGCTACTTTAGTACAATTAACTCAGAAAGCTTAACTGGAGATCATCAAAAGAATAAGTCAATAAAGAGGGAAGAGAAGCCGTAAAAGTACCAAAGAAATAAAGGTTGGCATGAAGCAATAGACAAAGTGCTAACAGTGGAACCTGCAAGACAACAAACAGTTTCTGGGAATTAGAGAAGAAATGCCATTGTGTAATTAGGTTCCTTCTTTTGGAAACTGTACTTAAAGGATGGAAAATGTTCAAGATAAAAAATCACACAGATAGGGAAGGACTTGACCTTTGGCGACATTTGAGAGAAGTCTAGAACAACAGGTTCTTATTCTCTCGTGCCTCCATGAAGAATAGAACCTCCCTCAACATTCAGACTAAAGGAGCGTCAATCCATTTAACAGAATTATATTTTTTGGAGAGTTGTAAGATTGTGTCCTGTATTATTATAAATAAAGATGCAGAAGTTGACAGAGACATATACTGATATATATTCTTACACTAAGTTCCCACTTCCTGCCTTAGCTTCAGTGAGTCTTTCACTTATAACCAGGAGGCACTGGAGAACTAAGTTTTTTGGACACTCACAGTTAAAATTTTAATACTTTATAGTAGCTGCTTGAACTCTCTGTTTGAAATTTATTAATAGCAATATTTAATGAAATTCTAACTTTGTATACATAAAAAGATGAACATTATATCATATTGGAATATCTTATTTAATCAAGCAAGAAAAAAATAGAATGTAGGTTTTAATTAATAAAACACTGAAACAAGAAATGGAAAGTGTCCAGTTCACATTCTTATTATATGTTTATAATTGCTGAGATAAGCATAATATAACAATGTGGGGTTTATGAATTAAATTAACTAGAGTTAGAATTCTATTCTAACATGAGTAAATTTCGTTAACATACCAGGGCTGTTTCACCTGTCATTTTTGCTACCCAAAATGGTATGTGTCATAATATTTCCTTCTCCTCATTTGGATCCAATTCAAATGTCACCTTCTCCAAGAAACCTCCCTCACCAAGTTCATAAAGCTCTACTTACCTCTCCAATCACTCTCCATTATACCACCTGTTTACACAGAATTTAAAAATATTTTAATTATTCTTTTTGTTATTTGTATCACTCCTCTAGAAAATACCTTCTTGTGATTAAAAACTTTGTATCATACTCACTGCTACAATATTAGCACCCAGAAAAATGTATGATGCATAGTAAAGTTTGAACAAACATTTGGTGCTAATGCTTGACTATAGAAAAAAAATTAGTAAATACTATAAATTTAAATATTTTGTATATTTTATAAACATTAACTCCAGTTGACAATGCATTAGGAAAACCAGTAAATCATTAACATTCACCAAAAATATACTGTTCAAATTAATTTTGGTGAATGTTACTTGCAAGTATGCAATCATTATTACCATTTTTGTTAGAATCATATTTTTCAAACCACAATAAAATCCTTATATAAATGAATCATCTTTCATAAGTTGTAGTCATTTTAAGGTCAAGAATGGCATTCACTTTACAGTTGTTAATGCAATTCAAGACTAAAAGGGGGAAGTCGTAAATAGATTAAAAAACCAAACTCAAATACTTGGCATTAAAATAGATTATGATATGAGAGCCTATGAAATTTTATTATTATTGACTTAAAAGACTTTCATCATTCACTCACATCTCCAAGATCCATGAGTAGTATACTCATTTTAACTTCAAGCGATAAAGTGTAGAGTGTTCTATCTATGATATTGAGTATTCTATATTAATTTCAAGTAATATAAACTTGCAACACAAAATTGTTCAAAATATTAAGTATTTCCATTGTGTGCTATGTCAACTTAAGGAACCTTATGATGTGAATATTTACATTCAGACTTAGCCTATCTAATTTCAAGAACAATGAAATTAATCATTAAATTAATCTAGGCCACTGTCCTACTTTTGTATATGGTGGGTCTCAATACCCTTTACCCAGATATAAAGAACCTGAACCATAACCATCTTAAGAATAATGGTAGTCATTAAAGAAGCCATCAATTGTGTCTCCTCATAAAACCCTACAATGTAGTTACTGCTAATATCTTAGTTTTGCACAGGAAGCTCCTGGAGCCCCAAGGCATTAGAAGACTTTCTCAAACTCACACATGAAGTATAGAGTATAACTAATTTTTGTAAGTAGGATATCTGGCTCCAGGACTCTACCTGTCCTTACGCTGACTATCAAAAAATATTGCCTACTAAACTTCTTGTTTACTACATTTTATACATGGGACAATTTGCACCCAGAAGTAAAGATAACCTACTAGCAAAACAGAGAAAGTAAATATGGGAGCTGGGAAGAGATCATGGGTCTCCACATGCATGGGGCTGACATCATCAGCCTAGTGCACTTTTGTTTTTATTCTGATAAAATTGTGTTGTTGATCATACACGTTTCAATTTATGAACTGTTAAGCAGTCCATACATTTTTGGGGGGATATGAAACTCTCTATGGATAACATGAAAGCTGTAGTCTTTCTTCCAGTAAACTCAAATTAAAACATAAATACAATATTTTTGGACAGATTTCAGAATAGTTTTGACTATTTAAAATGTATACTTTGACATTATAGGGCAGTAGCCCTCAGGTTTTTGTGATCAAGAATTTCTAGGCCAGGCATGGTGGCTCACGCCTGTAATCCTAGCACTTTGGGAAGCTGAAGTGGACAGATCACTTGTGCTCAGGAATTCAAGACCAGCCTGGCCAACGTGGTGAAACCCATCTCTACCAAAAAATACAAAAGTTAGCTGGGAATGTTGGCACGCACCTGTAGTCCCAGATACTTGGGAGGTTGAATCACAATAATCACTTGAACCCAAGAGGCAGACGTTGCAGTGAGCCAAGATCCTGCCACTACACTCCAGCCTGGGCGACAGAATGAGACCTGTCTCAAAAAAAAAAAAAAATTCCTTGGTAACAATAAATACCCTAGACTCCTCTTTCTGAATTTACTGTATACTGCATAGGGCTTGATATAGTCTTTAATAATTGATAGGTACTGTTGTAATGGACTGGTAGTTGAGAATGATATTTGAATAACAGAAAATCATATGAAAAAGGGCATGAAGTCAGGCAAGGACAAGTCTTTTCCACAAAGTGTGGTATCTGTTTTGACGAGAGTGATTTTCACTAGAGTGATTTTGAAAGTACACTTGGAGATAATTCAATTCCTCAAGTATTTCCTGACAAAATTCTGTTTCAAGTACATTTTTAGGTACTGGTTTATAGATATAAATGAAAAACCATATTTTAAGACTCAGAATATAGCAGAAAAAAATTAAAATACAGGAAAAAACCAATTGCCAAAAACCAAAAACTTAGATTCAAGAAATGTACTTCCTTACATTTCTGGATGTGATGGAGTGTTGGTAGGGATACAGAGAGAGAAGATTACTTGAACAGATCCTTACTTGACAAAATTATATTTTGTAGAATGTATCAATAGTTAAAGGAATTGTTGGCCACGTGAACAACTAAAAGATTACTTAAATATTATGGCAAAAGAGGTATTAATTTTCTCAAGAAGAATGATCCAAGGACTAAATAGGAAAGGCCAATGTAAGATATAGTAAAGGTTATATCTCACTCAATTTGACAACATCTTATTTTAAAAGAGATAATTACAAATCATGGAAACTTTTTTTTTCTATACGAAGCTTTTGGAAACATTGAGGAATAATGAAAACATGACCTTAAACTAATTTGAAATGTTATAGCATAATTATTGTGTTAATTCATATTAAGATTATTGGTTTCAATTTTAGAGGCAATATCAAAGAGAATTCACTTCACACAGGGTTAGTTCCTGGTAGGATATGATCTATAAAATATTTCTCACATAATTGGAGTAATGTGGGATGTTTATACTGAAGAGAAAATATAGTAGGCTAAACAAAATTTTCTTTGAATGAATTTAATGCTATTAAATAGAGGTGGAATAAAGATCAGTTCCAAGCTATCTAGACAAAACAAAGTCAGAGAGAGAGAAAGTTACAAGCAGATATTTTATCACAATGACAAGAAAAGAATCTCTATGTGAAGTTGTTTGAAACAGTGGTCTACAAGTGAAGGTGCTCTTCCCAGCGCAGCAGGTGCAGCCTCATCACAGCACAGTACCTAAGATGTAGTAAGTGTTCAATAAGGAGAAAATTTAAATGTAAGGCAATGACATAATCAGGTAATGGATGGATGAATAAATTATTACCAAAAAAAATCTAAGGATCTTTTTCCTGATTACGAGTCTAAATGAGAGGAAAGTGAAGGGCTCATACAGGATCCCAAATAGACTTCTCAAGGAATCTGCACACATTTGGGAGATCACACTACAGTGGTGGTGTTTTGAGAAGCATTGCTTCCTACACCTACAAATTATAAGATGGGCTGACATCGCTATGACATGGAAGTGAGACACAAGATCAGCTTCTTAATGTGAAAAGTTAGATACGTCAATTATGGGGCTCCCGAGGCCAAGCAGAAAGTATAAAAACATTTTGCCACTTTGTCTCTCCACTCCACCTACCTCCATTAAAGGTAGTAATAAGTATACAAGGATATCCTTTGCTTTTCAAGCCTCAGTTTTTCTTAACAATTCTCCAAAATTCTCATGCAACTGTATACCTGCAGGACTGCATTGTTGGAAGAGTAGACAGGTCTTCTTGTTAGTAAAAGTACTTCTCCTCGTTCTACTTATCTCTTCTTCGTGAATTGTGACCTTGACAATACTCAACTCCCTGTAAGGTTCATTTCCCGTAGTAGGGAGAGATGGGGGAGAGGAGAGGAGGTTCTAAAGCTGATCATAAAATACATTGATCCATTTTTATTAGTTTCCACATCTAAGGAGTTTCTGATGTTGAAAAAGCCACTTTTTTTTTAGCAATTAACTGAATAATCTCCCAAAATGAATGCCAGGTTAAAAAGGAGAAGCACTTTTAGTTAAATTTATTCCGTCTTTGAAGTAAAAGAGTGGGGTAGGGAATAATGAACCAGGGAAAGCAGAAAAGCAGGGGGGATGGAAATAGAAGTAGCAGAGAAGCAGGGATTAAAAAAAAAAAAAAGCTGTACTGAAGTCAAGAAACACAGGTGCTCAAAAGCAAAAATATAAATAAGTCATCACAGTTTATTGCAAGGAGAAGACTTAACTGCTTTCTAGGTATCAGCATAGATTTATGCTCAATTTGTTAGAAAGCAGTAGACAACATACAACCTAAGTCAACTTTATTTTAGCCATCAAATGATTTAGAATTAAAGCATAACAAAAAAATACAGAAGGAGATGAGTGTGGATATCTTTCCTCAAAGATTATATTTAAAGGAGCAAATACATATAACACTCAGCACATGAATCTAGTATATTAAATATAGTGAGAGTAATTCTTTACATCTAGATATAATTATATACTTAGTATATTATTTGAATTTTTTTAGTGTATATGTTATCTAGAACATTTTAAATCACATGCTAACTACTAAAAATATCTTCTGTAATCCTAACTTATATGCTTTCTTTTCTGCAGGCTAACATTGGTTACAAATCTACTTTTTTTCAAGTTGGTTATTTAATACGTTTAAATTTTTCTCACCATAAAGGTAATTAAAGATCACTTTCATACAAGGCTGCTTAACATAAGCCAAAAACTGAGAAAGAAATATAACTAAAACATTACATAATTAGAATTGGATAAATGATTACAACTGCTATTTTAATAAAAAATTCATACCACTGAAGGTTTATAAAACATCCCTTATTCATAGAAAACCGCTATATTGTATGACTATACATAGAATTCTAAAATGATAAAATACTTATTTTTCAAGATATCTTTTCAAATTCATACTTTATAGAACAAAATATTATTTTTAAGTGGTTAGGATACATTTCTTCAAATAGATAACTGAAGTAGAATTTTCAATCTGGGTTAAAATCTCCTCACACTCTATATAGGCCTTTTACTCACATTTTCCTGTAATTTAGGAAGATTACAATTTATGGTCATTGCAATATAAATATAAGACATACATAAGTCACATATTTACTCTGCAATAACATTGTATTATTTCCTGAATGTGTGTTTAAAAATTTATTCAATGTAAGACTTCAACAGACCTAGTTTAGTCTTAGGCTTATGGAAGAATTTTCTTGCCCATGTTTAATAAAGGGTTGCAGTGATCCCAAAGCCAATGCTTTATCTGTCAACTAGCAAACTTGCATGCCTAATAGGTCTGGAAGGAGCAAAAGGTCTACAATGGCAACATTTTTCAATGTAAACGGTTGTGTGACTGTGCTACTGAGTCTGCTATGGACTCCCACGCCTCTCGTGTCTTCATTCTGTCATTTGGTCTCTGTAGGTTTCAACATTAATCTTTGGGTATAAATGCTTATGAACTCCCAGTAGCTAGTGACACATACTTATTTCAAGAAATTTTATCAGAACAATTCTCTTCTTAATTTTCTAAAATCACAAATGATTCCAAAGTTGAAACTTACTTTCCTATTTAAATAAAATCATCTGACATATTTAGCTATTGAAAAACCAAGTTTAACAAAGGTCACAGGTCCAAAGTTGTGAGGGTGAGACACATAACACATATTTATATATTTAGCTGTCTATATATAGAGATATGTATAAATATGAACAGACTATTGATAAAAACTTTCCATTTTAATATGCTGAAATAGCCCTATAATATTTTTAAGAGCACTTTATTATTGATATTCACCATTTGTATTTTAATAGAACTTCATATTTTAAACTAAAGTTCATTATAATTATAAAGATAAATATATTTATTACAAGTGTAATAATATTCTTTATTGTCAGTGATTGTATTAGGCATCTGAATTCTAAACTAAACAAAAAAGACAGATGAATATCATTTGAATAAATAAGTGTACATATTATTATAATAGTTAATTATTTAATTTTTGGAAAATTATGTATTGTCAGAATCTGACATCTTATTTAATGCTAGTGTATGAAAAAGCTGAATTAAAACCATATTAAATATGTCACATCATCTAGATAAACTGGCAAAACTTAGGGGAGGCAGAAAACTATTTTCTCTCTTCCAACAGTTGAACCTATTCCACTCCCTGCTTAATACATGTGTAAATGCTTTATTAAGTTGTAACATTAATAAGTTGTGACATTAATCTAGAAGGAGTGGTAGTAATAAAATATTTCTCTGTTTTATGAATTACTGTAGATCACACACAAGAAAAAAGCAATACTATTTAAACTTAGTATCATTTTTAATATAAAGTAAATATACAATCAAGCACATTGTTAATTTACCTAGAAATACAACAAACATTTAATAGCTTATTGACTCTCGGGGAAAATAGTCAACTAAATAATTAAAAATTTCACCATATAATATATTTGCTTTGTATTATACATGACTAATGTAAAATTATAATAATTTTATTTCCTGATAATAATTATCTACTTTTTGTCTAAACATAGTTTGAGATAGCATTAACTTCTATGTTATATATTTCTCATCCACTGTAAATGTGGGTAAAAAGATAATAAATTTTGTGAGGTGTTCAAGAATTGTGAACATTCAATAAAGAATAATTATTTCTAGATACAGTTAAAAAAATAAAATTCTAATTTTTCCTATTCAAAAAATTATCCAAGTCAACCATTGTAGATGGACTATAATTGAGTTTAAGATTTTCCAAAAATAAAAAATTTTCAAATGGTATTTTATCATTTGTTTATAATATAATATCTAATATTGACTAATAAAGGAGTTATTTTAGTTCCTCCAGTTACACATTGTAATAATTAAATATTATAATTAATTTATGTGAACATTGAATGTTCACAATTTTTGAATTAATTCATTGTGCTTTCTTTCTGTTTTCCATATGTATTCTGGATGCATACACACACAAACATACAGACATAGCTATAGATACAGATATACAGAAATATGAATGAAGAAACATATGCAGATATAAAGATATAAAGACATAGATAGACAGACAGATAGACAGACAGACAGACAGACAGATAGATGTCACTTTGTAATTTCAACTAAGTTTACTCTTAACTTTCTGTTAAGTTTTCTTGAACTGTTAAGTTTTCCTTAACAGGAAACTGTTACATTTCCTCTGCGGTTTACTTACCATTAAAATTTAAAAAAAACAAAAAACAAAAAAACACAATTTTTTTATGTGTTCTTTATATTGTGAAGCATTTATAACATATATATGGGAATATTTTTAAACATATTTCTAGAAATTATGTAATAATACTACAGTAACCTGCTTTGGTAGAAAAAAATACAAATACATTTTAGAGTTGGCTGATTGTCTGGGGAAAACTCCCTTAGACAACTTTTAAGACTGAATTCCCAGTTTTATAAAAGCAGTATATTTTATATAATGTCTTTTGACCCAGGAAGTGAATTACTGTTGCTCTTTTGCCTGGATTACACTTTGTTATATGCATTATTTGTTGTCTCCCCTGTTATACAGCTTCCGGTGTATATGCTTTATTTTTTTATATGACTTTCCAAAGATGTTCTTTTACTAAATATGAGGAAAAAGCTTATTACACTTTGGAAACTGTGTTAATAATATATAAAGTATGTCGACTGCAGCATATTCCAATATAAATTCTGTTAGATAAATGTTTCTTTCAACATCGAATACATTAATGAACATGTTAAATCTTTCATATTCAAATTTAAATAATAATTATTAGTTACTACTATTTCCACTGTAAATTGAATTAGTGTTTGGAGTAGAAATTAAAATGAAGTCATCTATGCTCTTCAGAATTGTAAAGTCGATTTCAAAATCTGATATGAGGGGTTGGCTTTTTAATCCATATTTATGAAACAATCATATGCTCGTGTTTCATCGATCAATTAGAGAGATCAAAAATTATCTTGCTCATCAAGAGAAATAGAAGATATACAAGAATGCTTATTTCTCCTGCAATTGGTTTATAATTTGCTAAATTAATAGGATAGAAAAAAATCTCAGAAAAACTTTGAATGTCATTTTAAGAAAATATTCAGCTCTTTACTTTTTTTACTTTTATTCCTAAAATATAAATAAATAAATAATACATCTCTCTCTTACACACACACACACACGCACACAGAGCATCTGACCACAACACCCCATGATGTTTCCACTTTCCTCTCATAGCCAATGAGATCCATTATAATGACTTTTATGTTTGGAGAGGTGTTTCTTGGAAATGTTAATATGAAATCTCTTGGTCAGGCTCCAGAGACCCTGCTTTTGTTCAGGCACTTTGCATTTGTAATGTGGCTAGAAGACTATGTCTTACTAGTGCTAAATTTAGGGATAAGTGCATTAACATGTTAGGGCTGTTATGGAAATGTAGAAGAGTGCTATAAAGACATTTTCCTCACTGTACACTCCTTACCATATTTTAATAATAAGGATAATGGTGCTTCCAGGCAGAGAAATTGAAATGACTCATAAGAGAAAAAAAATTTTTTTAGATTATTTATAACAATCCAGAATTCATTGTTTTCAATAATCTATACAACTCTATCTATCTATCTATCTAATCTATCATCTATGTATTTATCTATCTATCCTCTATGTATCTGTCTATCATCTCTTTATGTATTTTTCTATATTTCCAATTTGAGTTTCATGGCTTAATAGGATAAGTTTCCACATAATATTGCATATGTATATATATATATATATATATTTAACTTGACAGTCTTGGATATGGAACCTGATCTTTCTAAGCCTCTGCTTTAGTATGTGTCAAATTAAAGATGGAGAGAGTTAAAACTCCTCTTCTAAAGTTCCAAAATTTTATGTAAACATCTAAATAAGATAATGTCATGGGTATTGAGAATTATTCGGGATATCTTTGTAAAGACAACTTGTTTCTGAAAACAAATATGCAAGATACAGAGAAAGAAATTGCTTTATCTTAGGAAACATGTTTTATGTTCTACAATAAAAATGACCATATTTATAAATTTAGCATCAGGTAAAAACAAACAAGACTCATTTGAAATCAATGTCCTTTGGATTATATTTAGCATGCTTTCTTCTTCTTTAAGAAAATTTAACTTTAAGCAGACGATTTACAAGGCAAAATACCCAAGAAACTAACTAGAGTTTTTATTACAAAAAATCTCACCATGAATCAAAATTACTCTATGTTAATATTGCTATTGACGTGTGTGTGTGTGTGTGTGTGTGTGTGTGTGTGTGGGTGTGTGTGGGTGTGTGTGTATGTGTGTCCTTGAAGTCAAAAGTATTACATTGGACATTTTTTAAGATATCTTTTTTCTAATATAAGATTATTTCTACATCATATTTAAATGTGCCTTTGAGTGAGCAAAATTAGTCTTAAAGAATATAGCAAATTAATGATAAATTATATTGAAGCATCTGCATTAATATTGAATAATTATCTATCTAGACTGTTTACTTTCATAGAGAACAAGTTACAGCCAATGTTTATTCATGACACATTCACACATATTTTTAAAATTAACTTTCACCTTAATTTATACTTTCTTGCATATTATATGTTGCCACATTAATTGCATATTTTATATTATATAATTTGTAAGCACTCTCTAAAGCATTCTTATTAACTACACCCATATACTGTAGAAATATTGTGGGGAAGGAGCATCTGCCTCATATCACTATTGATGCCTGAATAGAGCTAAGCCAGTAGAATAAAAACAATCTAATTAACTTTGCTTTAAAAATCTTACTTGGTGAATGTACCATGGACGGGACACTGCATTGGCTAAGCTTGGCATGTATAGGGGTTACAGGAAAACACCAGAACAAATCCCTCCATGTAAGGTGACGTTCAGATGAGCTTCTGATTCAACACACGATTTATCAAGTTGAGCAACACAACATTTAAAAGAATAATTTCAAGATCAACTTTGATATTGTACTCTTCTTACACACAGGCAGTGGTATGAGACATTTTTATTTCCTTCATGCAATGAATGCAATAACAGTAGCATAGTTATGTAAACCATTTCAAATATTTTAAAACTATCAAATACTGTAATAAAAGAAAAATAATATTTTTTATCCTAGAAAAATTATTATCTCATAGGACTATTGTTTTTATTAGTACTACCAAATCTGTCTGACTTTAGTGAATTATTCTTAAATTCATACTACTCTCTGCTTTCTCTAAATCATTTTTTCTATTTATTTCCAGAATTGGATTTGCTCATAATATGTACTTATCTTACATTTTTTTTCATTTTTCAAAACACATATAGAGATGTTGGTATTTCAACATGTTGGCATATATCTATTAAGTGCATATAATTATTTATCTACTCCTCATTTGGAAAAACTTTAGTCAAACCCATAACATATTTGGTGACAAGACTACAAACACATGCTATTTATGTTATGTTCAAGTTCTTTGGTGCTATGTGCTGTAATAGCATGTTATTTCATTTTCCTCATCTTTCAAAAGATCTATGTTTCAAACCTGGATTAGCCAGTTTTATAGTTGCAAAAATGTATTTCACAATGGACACACATTGCCTAGGCAATGATGTAGTGTCTGAATGTGGAAAATAGGATTCTTCTTCTGCAGAATGTAGGAGGAGGTTTTTTACAAAATTGAGAATCTTGAATAATCAAATTCATTCTTAACGGCTGTGCCTGAAGATGGGTAACTCTTCCAAATTCATAGATAAAGCAAAGGGAGTCGAAGGAAGATTCCCTTCTGTCTTGCAAAAGTTACCACTTTTTTTGATGTCACAAAGTCATTCATTCTTCATGCTAAAAAGATTTAGAAACCTTGTGAAAAAATCCCTATTAGGAATCTCATCTACCTATAATACAAAATATAAAATGACAACACATCTCCAGAGAAGACCACCAATTTCTCCTCCAATCTGTAGTCCATTATATCTTCATCAAAAGTTGATGATACAAATAAATGTAAACTTATCTACTACAGTTAATAACTTTCTTTTTATTACACCTTTGTTATTTAAAACAGATTATGAGAATTTCACCCTGGTAACAGTCTCTAACTGTCAATACTAAAGAATTTTGATGACCTTATAGCTAAAATCCAAGCCTTTATTGAGACGAGCCTACCTGCAAAAATTTATTTGATGTGAATGGTGATCTTGAGCATGCGATGGAAAACACAATAAAACAATGCTCCACCAAATCAATGCATTTCCCACATCACTTCAAATTTTTTAAATGCCAATTTTGGCTTAGAAACACTCTCCCTTTCTTGTGGCTTTCATCTATCTAGTCATCATTACATTAAGACATATTTGCCTACAATAATAGAAAGCAATTATAGCTCACAGATGTATACATTCAGAGTGTCGACCTGAGTGGGAGCCACAAATACGTGAAGAAACCTCTTTTACCAGGTAAAGTGATCACCTTAATCCTGACATCCAATATGCATCTGTGGCATTTTTACTATTCATATATTGTTTCATTTATAATATTGAAAATAAAGAAAGCATTTCTTATTCAATTATTAATAAAGATGCCCTTATTTTTGACAATTTTGACTCAAGTGATTTAAACAAAAGTTATGAGAAGACCAGGAGTCCATTTCAAATTAATATAATAATCACATACATGAACACATAAATATGTGAATAATTGAAAGCCACCACAATCAACTGATACAATTTTAAGTTTAGTTTTATTTTTACGACAATATTCCATATGCAAATATGAGGACTATAAAAAGAGCTTGAGTAGGTATCAGCTTTGCAAAAGTAAAATAAGAAGCAAATGTTGCAAGTTTTGTCACTGAGCATGTAAACATTTTACTCAAATACTACTAAAATGTATTCTTATGTGCTTCCAAGTGTTGAGAGAGAGAGAGAGAGAGCAAAATATAGCAACTAGGAGAAAAGCAATATTTGTACTACTTCGTTATAAGAAAGCAAAAACTGAATAGCTTACATTGTCAAGCAAAGTAAATAACACTTACCTTGCTTAACAATGGAACTGAGTTTAGCCCTACTCCGCACTGACAGTTCCGTTGTTGCTTCTGTCTCGGTCCTTCTCTTCCCTTTTTATAGTATCTTCACAGCTGAATCTTCATGCATCTCAGTGTGGCTTTCTCTTCGAGCATCACTTTTAACTCAGACAGGCAGGAAGCTGAAGGCAAAGGAACTCTCTATCTGATTGGTTTCCATTCAGCGTTTCTGATTAATAAGAGACGTCCCTCAAATAGGAAGATATTGCCGCTGATGGCGCTGCAGGGCGCCAGGTTTGGGCTTGGGGGAGTAAGGACTTCTTTGGGCACAATGATTTGCAAGCGAATGAAGTGGGAGGACTCAGAAAGGAGGGCTTTGTCAAAGACCCCCATAAGAGAAAACGACCCAGTGTTTTTAGTCTCGGTTAATCAGCTCTCCTTAATCTGTTTGCAATTGGGAGAGAAAGGTCACAGCATGTCTGTAACCTGTAAATCATCTGTAGAAAATATATATCACAGGGAGAGTGCTGTTGCTCAAAAGAAATTTTGTTTATGGTTCCTGCAGAATTTACTACTACCTATTTCAATTCAGTGTCAAAATGTCAACTTTAAGAAAAAGAGGAGAAAAAAATACAGATAATATATATCATTGATAACGATGAATTTTTTTACTTGTGCCTCTACGAGTTTATAATCTAAAATAGTCTTTTAGAAACATTGTTAAACATCTAAAAATTAATGATTGACATATCTGTTTTCAGTAATTGACATATCTGTTTTCAGTAAAGATAATGGTTTTAAGAATAATTTTAAATTTCTAGAACGACTTTGCTTTTTACCAGATAATGCAATTGAATGAGTTTCATCTTCCCTGGAAATAACCAAAAATAATGGTGACCATAGCCACATCACAAAAACTACATGATCCACCTGTTAGAGTCCCTGTTGCACATTGTACACCTCTTAGAGCGGGTGGACCAAAGCTAAAGTTAAACCCTGCTTCAGAAAGAAGTCTGTTTAGTATTTCTGGAAATGGCACAATAAGAAAGATATTGATTAGTAGATAAATCCTTCTGAAAAGAAGTTCTAGTAATAGTTGTATGAAATGCACGGTGGGGATATGGCTCACTTTATAACGGCTCGTTAAGTCACAGTAAGTAAATAGCTTAAGTGCGAAAAAATATCAATATCCTATTTGATGCTTCAAAGGAAAACTGACAATACAAAAAAAAATTCAACTTCTTTTTTTTCCCCCAATGGTAAAGCTTATCCATGAAATGTAGATAATAGAGGTGCCCATCGGAGGCTTGTGCATTATGGAAATTCGTTTCTTTAAAAGGAAAACAAATGTTTTTAAAAAAAAACACAATTTTACATATCCCCAAATAAAATGTGACACTACTAAAACGTGGTGATTGAACATGGAGTGAATGGCTTTTAAATACTTCTGTGTTTGAAGTGTAGGAGGTGGACAAAAAAAAGGGAACTTCATTTTGTTCATCTATAAATAAAGAAAAAGAAGGAAGAAATAAAGCCTTATGCGTATTCCCAGGGCTAGATAGATTCAAGTGGTTAAGACAGCTTGATGAATTCTTCATGGAGGCTAAGACTGTTTTCTTGAGGCAAAGACACTTAATTTAAAATTCACAGGCTCCTTTAGACTTATGTCTTCTGGGTCTACTTGCTCCTATAAATAAAGCTACATATTATAGAAGCCTCTTTATTAATACTGAGATAAAGTAATGTATGTAAAGTGGAAAAAAGAAACCAAACAAAATATTTTATCATAGTTTAAGGTAGACATTCAGAAATAAAAGCTTTAAATCCCTAATGTTGCATACATTTTATTTCCCACTGAAATCCAACTGTGGGAAAAGGCTGTTTTGTGTGAAATCCACAATTCAACAGAGCAGCCTAAATCCCGATTTGAAGTTATTTTTACTACTCTGAGAAAAAAAAGAAAAAAAAAAGGGGTTGCCAAATGAAAGGTCTTCTACCTTTCTCTTGTTTGATATGGAACCAGCATTTGAAAACAAAGGACTTAAACCCTGGAATTGTCAAAAATTCTTTTATATCATGTGTATAGCTACTTGTAAGTTTTCAAATGTGAGTAGCATTCTGTATCACATGAAAACAACTTTTCATACTTGCAGTAATGTGTATGAATATTTAGCAAACATTTTGTACAAAAGTATTAGTCATTATTTACATTAGCAGAGTATATGCCCTCCTTTTATGTATTTAGACATAAAAAATTAACAGTAAATTTAAAATATTATTTGAAGTACTCTTTCCAAGATTAGTTTGAATTTACTTTTCTTAATTATTTGGTATATTGAACATATTACCTTATTGTGGAAAAAAATTATATGGATATTTTTCTTTTCTTCTTCTTTGAACATAATGCATTGTCATACTTAAGGACTCCATCTATTTAATGCTGTTCAAAAAAATGGATAGATCTCTGCCACATACAAAATTTCATTTTTTTGCATTTTAGTGTGATAAATATATTCCTTTGCATAATGGTAATTTTGCAAATTGTTGAGAAAGAAAAACTGAAAAAAATAGACACAATGCCAGTTTATCTCGTACTGAAATAGAAAATAAACTTTATAGTGAAGCGAGTTTTTAAGCTTACAACTGTAAGTCCTTTAGTCTTCAGACAGGCCCATAAAGACATATTTATGGTATTGTACCAGGAAAATCTTGAGACAGAATCTCCCTGTGCTATGAGACCACTCATAGGAACACCCTGAAATTTAAGACCACTCTTTGCTCTTGGTAACAGACATTCACACCTTCCTAACTAAAACTGAAATACTTTGCACAATAGCTCTTGCATGTCACTACTAAATATATCCCTTTCCAGACCTCAGCACCAAGGGCTTGCTCCTATGACCTGAAGATTAAACTATACCAAGAATCAAGGAAAAATTATAAATTCCCTTCTTTTCTCTAGCAAGCCATTGATATCAATCCCATCACTGTCCACATTTGATTGCTTATCAGGCCTTCTCAGAAGTTTAAGCTTCTCTGGTCATCTACCAGGACCATGATTCTAATTACTCTCTGGCTTGAAATACCCTCAGGTCTTAGTGAAATCCCTTCAGTCCAATTATGCCCATTGATGGATCTCAGTGTGACACCGCAAAATCCTTTGAGTCCTTCAACTTTTCTTTGAACATTCTCTGCAGCTACCTGCTGTAACTGAAAGCTGGCTATTGTCTGAAGATTCTTTTTTTATTTTTGGTTTCTCACAAGAAAAGTGATATTACTCTCACAGCCATGTACAACAAAACAGTGCCTGGAGTTGAGATAGATGATCTTCTGCCTTGTCATTACTGGGCCACTTTTCTTCACCCTTTTCTCCATGCTTGCCATCAGCTGATTTCTTGTTTAACTCTACTTGTCAAAATCATTTGAAGACCAAATCATTACTCCTTCTCATTCATTGAAACTGAATACCCGCGTTAGTATCTTATTATTATTTTTATTATGTTTTATTATTTTGGTGTATGATAATGAAGGTCCTCATTCTTAAGAAATTTAGTAGCCACTTACATGATCCCCAATAATACACCCACTCCTTCCTTGCCTTGACTTTCACATTCCCAGTAATCATTTCCTCCTCTCCATTCCAGTTTGCAATCCAATGGCCACACTTTATTGAGAAGAGAAAATTATTCTTTTTCTTCTGAATAACCATAATGACTTTTCTCTATTCCATGCCTCAAGGTGGACTAGCAATGAATTGACTCAGAACTAAACTGGATTAGCCTTAAAGGCTATTCGATTTCTACTTGCCTTTTATAACTGGCAAATAGATTCCTCCAGAGGACAAAATCAGAGGGAAGAATGTTCATTTTATCCTTATGGCCTTATCTCAACAAGACAGATCAAAGGATCTGGTACCTACTGCTCTCTTCTAGTGTGGAGATTCTCTTCAAGAGAGTTCCCTGTGTACTTAGCCCAAGCACTCCTTTCTGTGAGATGGAGAAAACTAAGGAACTAAAAGCATTATATTGATTTTCTCTGTTACATTTTTTTTCCAGATAAACTTTGCTTTGCACTTATGCTGTGTGTCATGCTTATGCTTGTTCCTGACCTTAATACCCAGACTTTCAGTTAGCAAAACCAGTATGACTTCCAAAATATGTTTTTTCAAAAATCCTAATTTTGCTATTATGACCTCTACAATTAAGTCTTTCTTTCTGTGATCTGATGCCAGCTATTCCTCCTTCCTTTAGGCCCTGCCATTGACTCCACACTTCTTTTTTTTTTTTTTTTTTTAATGTTTGTCATCTCTCTGAAATCTCCTTTCTCTGCTTATTTAGGTTTTTCCTGAAACCCATTATCAAAATCACACTCTTACATACTCTCTGGTTTTGCTATCACTCTGTGATTGCATGAGTATGTAATAATTTTTTAATGAAAAGATAAAGAAAAGTGGGCTATATATTGTATTTGTAGTCATAAAATATAGAGCAGGGACAGAATCTGGGATGCTTGGAATCGTGGTTGATGGGGTGATCTGCATCCCAATAATGTAGCAACAGCAGCACTTTGGCATCGGAGTTTCTGTTCTCAGCTTCCCTTTTTTCTTCATTGTTCAGGGAGCTTCAACAAATTCCAGGCCTTATCTTGAAGATGCAAGTTCAGTAAGCTCAAAACATCCTTGAAGTCCATACTTGGATGTGCATAAACTATGCAGAACATGGACGGCTTATAACAGTGACCCCCTAGTTTTTAAAATTCTGCTTATAGTTATGCTTACTTATCTCCTGTATACGACTCTCATCATTACTATTATTACCCTACCATGACTACAACTAATGCCGCCACCACCACCACTAATAATAATAGCACTAATAATAATAATAGCAATGGTTTTAATTTATTGTATACTTACATTAATAACTGTTAGCCTTCTATAAATGTCATTTCTTAAAACAGCTCTACAAGGTAGATTTTGTTTTTTCTTGATGGGATATAAGGAAACCGATGCTTAGTAAGGTTATTTGTCAAAATCTACTTAGCTAGGCAGTTGATACAATCAGGAGTAGAAACCAGTCCTATTTAAGTTCACTGCCAATCCTGTTAACCACTACCCTATAAAGCTGACTTCAATTGTCCCATTGGCAGCAAAGTGTATCACAACTAAGACACTGATGGCCAAAGGTAAATGGAATATTGTATATCCCCTAGAAAAAAAGTCTCATCCTCAAAGTTTCTATATTATATAGATATATATCTAAACTGTTTGTCCTTGCTAAAAAGATTTTTTAATATAAAACACTGGAAATTTTAGTAAGAAATTAGATTACAAAAACAAGCAAATTTATAAATAATTTGCCAAAAATTGTTTATAAAAGATATGGCAAATTATAAAAGATCTATATGCATAAAGCACATTTTAAAAAATGTTTAGGTTCATGGGTAAGATTTTTGGAAATAATTTAAAGTGCTTTTCCAGAGCATGTTAGATAAGTATTCTAAAAAATATGTAATAACAAACATTTCTACATTAAGGAAAAATGTGTTTTAAAATCTAAATTAGTTTTATTCAACTTTGTATCCTCTAAGCACAAGGCAAAGCACAAAGTGGTCAACCATTAAATGGTACATTATGTGATTAATACGTTATGAAAACGTAAAAACACAGTCACCTGTTTTTTTTTTAATTAAAATAACTTAATTATATTCTTATTCAGGAATGCCATGTGCTTATCTGAAAAGTCAAAAAACACAGAATACAATCAGAAAAACAAAGCAAAATCATTTGAAAACACACAATTTCTATTACCATAATTTTAGCATGCAGTTAAACCAGTCACATAATTAATTTTCAATAAATGGGATCATATTGCAGATTGCTTTTATCATGAATGCTTTTTTTTAACACTATATTTTTTTTTTACTTTCTCCATTTTTATTCCTCTTTTATTTACCACTCCATTCTTCCAATGCAGGGACAGAAATTAGCAGCCTCTCTTATAATTTTCTGTACCCTAGATTGTCATATTAAAAATATATCTATCTATTGATCTATCTGCTGCTTATATTTATCTTCAGTTTTTTAATTAAAAAAAGCATATTTCATTATTTTCTGTGCATACTGCTCTCCACTTAACAATATAATGTATAAATCTCCTCGAGTTAACTGATATATTGTTTTAAGGGCTGCTAAATATCCGATTCTGTTTAGTATCCATGGACGTTTTATTTCTTCAAGGTTGGTATGTATCCATCATGAACATAGGTAAAGTACATAATTATTATTCTCTAATATTTTCAATGTTTCTGTTTTAAATTTTTATGAGGAATATATTCAGAATATGATACCTGCATTGCATTGGGAATATTTTAAATAGATATTTAATATTATATTACCTACAGGCTATAATTCATATTTCCCTAAGGATTTTACTCTTAATTTTTTTTTTTTTGGTCGTTACTTCCATTAAATTTCACTCCCTAGTAACTTTCTATTGGTCTCTTCAGTTATCTTTTCAAATAAGTGTTCATTCTTAATTTTTAATTAAAATATAACCTTTTTATATGTCAAATTCTCATACTTGCTGGATTATATTGTATTCTCCTTGAGAAAAATGAAAAACTGAATTTAAAAATTAGACTGACACTAATCAGTGATCTTACCCACTCTCAAGCATTATGGATTATTTCAATAAGACAGGTAGCCACAGACACAGTTGAATCTAGGAGAAGTCTTAGGGCCAGGTCACTTGTTACCACATCGGAGTTGCCTGGACCAGCTTTAAACACATGAAGCCTCCACTTAATATGTTGGAGTATATTAATCACAAAAATAGACCATTTAGTTCACAAAACATTTCTGTTTTACATTGTTAGATGACACAGTTTTCAGTTATATTTACCACAAACAATCTTTAACAACTGGGTATATCTTGGTAAATGTGTTCTGTAAATAAGCAAATTATATTGATATATTAACCAGCATATATATTATCAGCATATTTATAAGGAACTAGACTGGACCACCTTCTCCCTTTCTTGAGACATATGCTTCAATAATGGGAAAAAAAATGTTCCACCAATCTTTTTTGGTAACAATACCTTGCTGCTTTAATAGTAGTGGCTTTGCATTACATTTACTAGATGGTATGTCAAATCCACCTCCTGATTCTTTGCATAATTTTTTTTTAAATTTTACAGCTTTACCTTCCTTCCCTAAGAAATGCTCAGGACAGGAAGTACACAAACAACTATGAGTTCTACTCTTTCTATTATATAGGGAGTAGGCTTATACCACTTCATATTAGAGTGGTCTGGGACATAATGTCTTAGCACCTACCATTGTGTTACATAAAGTCTACGGTCATCTTTGCTATTCATACAGATGCAGGTGTTCTTACCCATATAACAGTCTATCATTCAAGAAGACTCTTTGTTATCAAAAGACATAATTTTTTATCACTGTGCCTTATTTTCTTTAATCTAATCTAGTTAATAGGAACTGGCTTCTTAACCTTGTATTTACATTTTTATCTAGTTTGAGCTTTTGTGATGAAACTCAGTAGAGCCCTCTTGCTCACCTGCTCGGGCCTTCCAAGTCAATTGCCTCATTCTTGTGCATTCTCATCCCAATGGATTACCTCACCATCTGTAAACACTCTGCTTTCACAAAATTTCCCAAACGTTTACTAACTCCCTCCTTGAATTCACCTGTGTTCATCACATACAGTCTTTATATCATCTGTTAGGAAAAATGACTGAAAGAATAATGATTGAATAAAGGATAATTAGAAAAATGAACAGTTCTTTTAAAATTGAGGAAATACATAGAATGAAAAGCACAAATTGTACTTCATACTTCATGTCTATTTCTATTTATTGTTTGTTTTTAAAATGTTTCAGACATAGGGTATAAAATACATACAGTTTAAAGAATAATAACGTAATGAATGTGCATGTATTCAAATTCAGATTAACACACTACTATTTTTTATTAACACACTACTAGCATCCTATCGAATACTCCATTTATTTCACACACCATCTTCCATTTTTCAAAAGTCATAGAACACTGGGATAGTGGCCAGGTTATCAAGCTTTTTTAACTAAAAGTTTAAGATCTGATATTCTTGGTAAAATCCTTTTTTTTTTTTTTTTTAATCTGCTTTCAAGCTTCCAAAATGTAGCTGTCTTTTCCTTCCCTGGTAGTTCCTTCTTTTTTGAATTGTTTTTATTTGCTTATCAGAAAGGAGTGAAATTACATATCTGTTCAATTTTCAGACTGATCCAGGTTTATGTTTAGATTATTAGTTCATTAATAAATGAAAAGAGCAACAACAGCAACAGTAATTTTAAAAATTACATTTCCTGTGTTTTTTGGCTGCATAAATGTCTTCTTTTGAGAAGTGTCTGTTCATGTCCTTCACCCACTTTTTGATGGGGTTGTTTGTTTTTTTCTTGTAAATTTGTTTGAGTTCATTGTAGATTCTGGATATTAGCCCTTTGTCAGATGAGTAGGTTGCGAAAATTTTCTCCCATTCTGTAGGTTGCCTGTTCACTCTGATGGTAGTTTCTTTTGGTGTGCAGAAGCTCTTTAGTTTAATTAGATCCCATTTGTCAATTTTGGCTTTTGTTGCCATTGCTTTTGGTGTAACCATTGTGGAAGTCAGTGTGGCGATTCCTCAGGGATCTAGAACTAGAAATACCATTTGACCCAGCCATCCCATTACTAGGTATATACCCAAATGACTATAAATCATGCTGCTATAAAGACACATGCACACGTATGTTTATTGCGGCATTATTCACAATAGCAAAGACTTGGAACCAACCCAAATGTCCAACAATGATAGACTGGATTAAGAAAATGTGGCACATATACACCATGGAATACTATGCAGCCATAAAAAATGATGAGTTCATGTCCTTTGTAGGGACATGGATGAAATTGGAAATCATCATTCTCAGTAAACTATCACAAGAACAAAAAACCAAACACCGCATATTCTCACTCATAGGTGGGAATTGAACAATGAGATCACATGGACAAAGGAAGGGGAATATCACACTCTGGGGACTGTAGTGGGGTGGGGGGAGGGGGGAGGGATAGCATTGGGAGATATACCTAATGCTAGATGACGAGTTAGTGGGTGCAGCGCACCAGCATGGCACATGTATACATATGTAACTAACCTGCACAATGTGCACATGTACCCTAAAACTTAAAGTATAATAAAAAATAAATAAATAAAAGAATAAATCCAAAAAAAAAATTACATTTCCTCCACCAAATTTAAAAAGAAAAATATAAATTGAGAGACTTCAATATTGAAATATATCAAAATTGAATATTTGAATTAACAATTCAAATTCTAAAACATTGCTTCTTAAAGGTCTTTATGAGTTAACAGCATCTCAAAGCTTCAAAAGAGGAGCCTGATTATGCAAATAGCAGAAATTATAAAGCAGTGAGAGAAGAAAAATGAATTTCACAATAAATAAGTTCATACTTATCTCTGTGTGTACGATGTTTTCATTAGTTAATAGCAATTGCTAATAAGACTTCATAAGGAGCCATCCATATCTTTCAGATAAATACCTTGCAAAACTTTCTGCTAATGTTGCTCCTTTTTTTTTTGCCAAACTCTTTTAGTAATAAAATCCAATTTCTATTTTCAGTCCTTCATTTTTTTCTTTTTGAATTCCAAAACAAATTATAATATCGTTGAATTTGTATTTATTTAACTATTGCCAACTTTTCTTTCTGTTTTCACAATATATGCACTATATCAAGACATTACATCATTTTAGTAAATATTTTATAAATTGTACACATTGTACTAAATATATTTAGTTGCTTACACATATATAAACTTCAAATATATTTATATATAAATATAATTATATAAGATATGTTATATATCATATATATATATATACATATATATATTATTTGGTATACAGCCAGAAAATGATTGAAAAATGGAAAGCTCTGAGTTAAACATGACTGTAACATCATCTCCATAAATAAGTAAAGCTATAAAGAATAACTCCATGAACACAGTACTTTGCTGGAAGCACTGAAGCACCAGACAAGAAAGACTGAGTTTCTTCTCTAAAGACACCAAAGGTACATTTTATATCCTGCAGAGTGAAAGTGACCTTGAGAAGTTTTCTTTTTAAATCAACTAAAAGGACAGGCTTTTGACTCTTACCTATTGTCTGTCTACTCAGCATATTAGCATACATCCCAGGCTGGCCTAAGGAGGTCAGAGGTTATCAGCCCTGGTCACACAGTATCATCTGAGCTTAGGCTGCTGAGTAAAGCCCAGACTTTGGAATTTCAATAGGTCCCATAATGATTTCAACATACATATAGATCAGAAAACAACTACAGGCTAGTGAGTTAAACTAATAGATTTACAGTTCCAGTCCCTTGTTATGCTCAGGAGACAGTAAGTATGTGATATCTGGAGGTCCCAGAAGGTTTCAGATACCAGTAATTTCAATCTCAATATGCGGTGTTCATGGGAAATGGAATTGCTCACACTTCCCTAAATATCCTGGTTTTCTTGTTTGTTTTTTTTCCCCCCAACACCTTCATGCACTCACATAAAATTTCTACCAGAAGAGTCCTGTTATCTGTATTTTTTTTAATCCTTGAAGGCAATGTAAATGCCACCTTCTCCCTGGAGGCATGGAGGCGTCTCTTATTTTTCCACTACTCTTTAGATATTTCTACTGGGCTTATATTTCGTTCTGCCTCTTTTGTGTTTGTTGTTGATGACAAGTCCGTCTTCCTCCATCAGACTGTAAGTTCCTTGGAGACTGTAATATTTTCTCATTTACACATCGTGACATTACCAGCACTTATGTTACCTGCTTGGCATATAGTGGGACTCATAAAGGGGGCTTTCTAATTTGTAAATTAGTCAATTGGTTAATATATGTATCTAATTTTTTTTCTAAAAGATGAGCTGTCTGCAATTACCTCATTATTTGTAAAATATAACTTATCTATACAGCAGAATAATTTAACAGGCAAAGCTAAAGTAACAACGACTACAAACACATCTTAAAAAGAAATATAATATTAGTCAACACTTGGTTTTATAGTTTCAGCTATTTTGTATGAAGTTTAATACCTTAGTAACTTCATATTAGTTTCAGGTCTTAAAATATCAAAACACAGTGAGAAAAATTAGACTATACTAGTGTTTTTGTTTTGTTTTGTTTAAAGTATAATTGGTTTTATTTTTTAACAATAAAAGCTATCATTTTATGAAACCTAACTACAATGGTTACTACGGTAGGTACCCTCTAAATTTAACTACTTGGATCCCCACAATGACATACAAAGCATGCATAAATTTTCTTACCCTACAGATAAGGAAATTTAGTCTCAGAAATGGTCAAATGTGACACCCAAATCTCACAGCTTGCAGGGCAGAGGTGTGACTGAACACTGGTGTGCTTTACTCTGACACCTTTGTTATTTCTAGCATGCTGTATATAAGATGCTATTTCTAGCATGTATATAAGATGTATATAAGCTGTATATAAGATGTATATAAGCTGTATATAAGATGTTATTTCTAGCATGCTGTATATAAGAACATCAGATTGCATATTCTGGGCACAAATGTCTGATTTTCCTTTTGTAATTTACCCTTCAGGGAAGTGATACCTCATGCTGTCTATATGAATCTAGTCAAATTACTCCGTATCTCACAGATCTCAGTTTTCACTCAACAAAGGAAGAAATAATGTTCTTATCATAGAGTCTCTGTGAGGATCAAATGAGGCAATGACATGGTTACAAAGAACTAGATCTCAAATGATGGACACCAAATCTGGAATTTTTGTTTTTAAAACAGAAGTGCACTTACATGGACAAGGCTCCAGTCTACCTCAAGAGTTCTTCCAGTCTCATTGCTCTAACTTCATTATTCTGTATTTTACATCATCCTATATTTTACTGACTATACCTCTAGTTTGGCTAATGGACCAGATTAGTGTTTGGTTTTGCTTCATTCATTCATAGTTGAAGTCTTCAACTGGATGTTTTACATTTTGGGATTCCAGACTAATCCTGATAGATAATACTGACTTAAAGGCAATGTAAATGCCACCTTCTTTCAGTAGCATTATAGCCTGAGTATAGAATATGAACTCCGTTATGCAAAATAATGCAAGGGCACGATTAGAAAATCACTATTTTGCATGTAGAGAACAAAGTCTGCCAAAGAAGACAATTGAAATTGTATCTAATAAACTTCTGCAATGTGCACCATTAGAGCACATCCTCTATCTTACAGGGGAGAAAAGCACCGTAATAAAACATTATGGTGGTAATGTCATCAATTTTAGATTTGAGCTTTATATAGTACCTACTCCTACACTATAGTCCTGAGTCTGCCCATATTTCTACATATTTTAGATGGGGCATCACTCTGGATGTGTTAGGCTTGATATATAATTTATTATATTTAATGCATGTGTGTTTTTAAAAGGTACCTTTTTAACCTGTGAAGCTTTATGTTTTAATCAGAATGTTTAGATCATTTATGTTTAATGTAATTGCTGATATAGTTGGTTTCAAATCTGCCATATTGTTCTTTGTGTTCTATGTCTCATATGTTCCTTTATTCTTCCCTTCTTGGCATCTTGTACATTATATATTTTTGTTATCTTATTTTGCCTCTTAGACTAGATTTTTTTGTTCTACCTTTTATTACTATACATCTACTGGTTATCTTAGAAGTTTAAAATGTAGCCTTAATATGCTAGAAACAACAATACATATTTTTATTATTAGAGACAAGTCAGTATTTTTACAGCATCAAAAACAATGTAAAAATCATTGTAATTAACTTAATTTTCTCTACCTGCTTTTTCATGATCTTAGTTATGCATTTTGTTTACATATGTCCGATAATGCAAGACGGTATATTTAATATTGCTTTAAATGATAAAAATCATTTTATATTTAATAGTATTATAAAATATAAAAACCATTCCAGTAATGTTTATTTCTTCTTAGCCTTTTTTGGCTTTAATTTGATATATGCATTTTCCATTTTGAAGGTCTACTTGGAAACAACCTCTCTTAGCTTTCATTTTTCTGAAAATATTATTATTTCATCTTTACTTTGAAGGACATTTTCACTGGATATAGAATTTTTGTTAATAATTCTATTGTCTTTCAGCACTTTAAAGTCTTCTGCTGAGACAAACTTTCTGTGGAAAAGTCAGGTTTTTTTCATATCGATAAAAATATGCTTTTTAAAATTTTCATTAGCTGATTTTAAGATTTACAATTTATATTTCATTCTCTGCAGTTGGTGATGATATTCCTAGGTAAGTTTCTTCTGCATTTCTTCTTGTGGTTTATTCACTCATGTTCTTGAATAGGTAGTTTGGCGGCTTTTTAAAAGATTTTGAAAATTATTTTCCATTATTTATTTTATAAAATTGCTCTGTTTATTTTTTCTCTCTCCTCTTTTACTCTATGTTTGTTAGTTTGTCGTGCACTACATCTCTATTACAATCTTTCTCTCTCTTCATTTTTTTCTCTTCCTCTCTTCCATGTTGGATGTCTCCTCTTGGATTGTACTCAAGTTTTTGAATCCCATTTTCTGTTCACTAAGACTACAATAGCCTGCTGCTAACTCATGCTTTTTTATACCTTTTGTCAACTCTTTTCTCTATTTAACTAATCAATCGCCAGTGTTAATTCTTGTGCTTACTCCAATATCTGGATCATTTTCAGGTTCTACTTCCATTGAAAACTTTACCTCCTGAATATCACCTGATAGATTTATCTCGTAACATCTCTCATGCTTTTTACCATCTACTGAACATTGTGGAAACTTCTTACTGAGATTTTGGTTATGTTGTCTTCTTTGATAATTGTTCTGGTATGCAGACTAATTCTCTTGAATCCCCTTAACCCTGTTGAAACTTGGTTTTTAACCCTGTTGAGACTTGGTTTGGGGTCAATTAGGGCAGATTTATTTCTGTTAGTTCTTTTCCTTAGTGTTCCTCAAGGCCTCAATTAAATTCAGAATCCTCTCTAAGTTATATTTGTCCAAAATGAGCTCATACATCAAAGAACTGTCAGCATCGTGTGACCTCTGATATGTTATTTGATTCCCAGTCTCCCAGTATCTGTTCTCTCCTAACTATGTAAACTTTAGCCTTGAATAAGTATAGTTGAGGACAACTAAAGGATTTTTACACAGATATTGGAAACTGGCATATGTAGTTTCTACTTTTCTCGTATCCTGTCTCCAAAACTTAGCTGTTATAGCTGCCATGGTTTCCAATCTCTCTTTCATCCATGTAACATTATAGCCATTATTTTAACTTACTTTATATTTTCCTGTGCACCTTTGAAAAACATACTCAGGGAAAATGCTGAAATAAATGTGAAAACTCACCTTTTATTCTTCTCTTATGCTATCTATCATCTATCTATGTTGTCTAGATTTAATAGCTGTTTAAGATAGAAGGCAAACTTGCTAATAGCTACTCTATCATAAGTAGAATGGAAACATTCTTATTTAATTTTTTTTTCTTCTGTACAACCATAATGGCTTTTCTCTATTCCATGCCTCAAGGTAGACTAGCAATGAATTGACTCAGAACTAAACTGGATTAGCCTGAAAGAATATTTGATTTCTACTTGCCTTTTATGACTGTCAAATGGATTCCTCCAGAGGACAAAATCAGAGGGAAGAATGTTCATTTTATCCTTATGGCCTTATGTCAACCAGACAGATCAAAGGATCTGGTACCCACTGCTCTCTCCTAGGGTGGAGATCCTCTTCAAGAGCGTTCCCTGTGTACCTAGCCCAAGCACTCCTTTCTGTGAGATGGAGAAAACTAAGGAACTAAAAGCATTATATTGATTTTCTATGTTACATTTTTTTCCAGATAAACTCTGATTTGCAGTTATGCTGTGTGTCATGGTTATGCTTGATCCTGACCCTAATACCCAAACATAAACACTGAAAAAAAAAAAAGTTTTACTGACTAGTTTAGTCATTATTTATATTTTTGTGTCTGTTTAGGCAAAAAGTTCTGACACAATTAACACCATTTAGTTTGAAAAGGTGAAGTATTTCTACTCCATATAACCATAAGAGGAGATTATAGGATTCAATAAGTTTTTCCATAATAATAATAGGTGCTTGGAAATTTATTTAAATGAAACTTTTTTGAGGGCTCAATAGAATGACATATGTAAATTTATGGATTTCAATTCTTGCTGCAAATTAGAACACCATGGAGAGAAGTTTTTTAAGATGCCAGTGCACAGCATACTTAATTAAGATGGTATGGAATCCAGGAGTATTAAATACCAATAAACAATAAAACTTTTCGGATGGGTCTAGCATGTAAACAGATGTAAACATATATTTTATCCTGTCACTTTCTTATGTACAATTTTCAATCCTCCAGGTAGTTTATAGGCAAAAGTTAAGTCCACATTGTAAGATGATATATAACCACACATATTGAATTATCAAAGCATATTCACACAAGTCATCAACCTTACCTAAAACGAAACCACAATAATGATTCAAGGGACACATCAACTCTGCATTTCTTTTTTTTTTTTGAGATGGAGTCTTGCTCTGTTGCCCAGGCTGGAGTGCAGTGGCACAATCTCTGCTCACTGCAAGCTCCGCCTCCTGGGTTCACGCCATTCTCCTGCCTCAGCACCCCAGGTAGCTGGGATTACAAGCACCCGCCACCCCGCCTAGCTAATTTTTTATATTTTTAGTAGAAACGGGGTTTCACCGTGTTAGCCAGGATGGTCTCGATTTCCTGACCTCGTGATCCACCCGCCTCAGCCTCCCAAAATGCTGGGATTACAGGGATGAGTCACTGCGCCCTGCCTCTGCATTTATTTTTTTTTTTGAAACGGAGTCTGGCTCTGTTGCCCAGGCTAGAGTGCAGTGGCACAGTCTCAGCTCACTGCAACCTCCGCCTCTTGGGTTCAAGTGATTCTCCTGCCTCAGCCTCCCAAGTAGCCTGGATTACAGGTACACGCCACCACGCCTGGCTAATTTTTTGTATTTTTGGTAGAGACGGGGTTTCACCATGTTGGTCAGGCTGGTCTCCAACTCCTGACCTCAGGTGATCCACCCACCTGAGCCTCCCAAAGTGCTGGGATTACAGGGGTGAGCCACCACGCCCTACCAACTCTGCATTTCTTTATGGAGTGGGCTGAATCAGTCAGATGTGGCTTCTTCTTCTTCTTTTTCTTTTTTATTTTTTCTTTCAAACTAAGAATGTGTTTTTGTAATAGCATAAGAAATTTTATAATGTGTGTGGAAAGTTGTTCTCACTGCAAGTCCTTTGGTTTGGATTTTTTAGAGTATATACTTCACCAGACACACAAATAGGAAAAGTCTGAAGAAGTATTTTCCATATTTCAGTCTGCTAAAATTCATATAGCTATAAATTACATATTTATTTATAATAAGTGAACTAAAAAATTGGGTGTACACTGCTAAAGAGCATTTTAATATAACTTCTCGGGAATCTTAATACATACTACGTCTATAAGGTGTTGTGGTAGAGAAACATTGGTGCCTCAATTTGATTAACTCCAAGTAGGGAGAGGGTGATCCATGGGTCTGCTATTGTTTTTTCTTTCCGGAGGGCTTCTGCTATGGTTTGGATATTTGTCCCTTCCAAATCTCATGTTGAAATTTGATCCCAGTGTTGGAAGTGGAGCTTAATGGTAGGTTGGTTATGTCAAGGCAATCCCTCATGAATAGATTAATGCCCTCCCTCAGGGGTGAATGAGTTTTTGCTTCACTAGTTCCTGCAAGAGCTTGCAGCTAAAAAGAGCCTGGCACCCCATCCTCTCTTGCTTCCTCTCTTGTCAGGTGATTTCTGCACACACCGGCTCCCCTTCACCTTCCTTCTTGAGTGGAAGCAACCTAAGACCCTCACCAGATGAAGGCACTGGTGCCATCCATGCGACTTGTACAGCTTGCAGAACGGTGAGCCAAATAAACTTCTTTTCTCTATAAATTACCAGCCTCAGGTGTTCCTTTATAGCAACACAAAACAGAATAAGACAGCTTATGTGACTCCTTATGGCATAAAACCTTTTTGTTGCACACATTCCAGAATCAGGTAGCTAAATATGTCAGTCTTATTTTTGCTCCATATGCTGTTTCCTCTGCTAGAAAACTTTCTATTCATTTTAATCTTCTCCTCCCTGCCCATTCTACCTTCTAACTCGATGTACCTGAAGAACACAAATTCCACCCTCAAGACTTGGCTCAAATATTAACTTATCTTTAAGTCTTTCTCCTACCAGCTCAAGCAGAATTAAGAACTTCCTCCTTTATGTTTCCATAAACCGCTGGGCATAATTCTATATTAGCATATTTATGTTTAATATATTGTGTACTGGACACTATACACTTCAAGCAGAACATCTTTTTTCTGCTATTATTTGTGTTCCTATCACTCACTAGTACATGGATGAGGGAAGTAAATAATACTAGGTAAAAAAAAATTACTATATGAATAAAATGCAATAATACATTTTATATATTGAGTAATATTGGTGTGATATATTCAGTGCCTTAGATTAAATATCCATGATTATCCTAACCATTATTCTATGTAATATTAAACAAACAAACAAACAATAGAAATAATTGGGGCTGAGAAAGTTTTCATAATAGCCAGTCCGATTTTCTACTCTTCTACTCTGGAATCCATATTACAAGATTCTAGAATCCAAACCTGGTATTCTATGACTCTTGAGTACATATTCTTTCAATTAATCAAAACTGACAATGTGATTATCATTTTGATCGGAAATTTTAACAAATTTGTTATTATATTTTAAATTGTGGAAATGGCATTTTAAGACAATAGGAAATAAAATATAACACTTTAATTAAAATGAATGGAATAGAATGATCAAAATGAGTTAACTTGAATGTAATCTCTTATAAACATACATACGCATTTAATACTTTAGAAAATATACACTTCTGATGTCATTAAGTAGCTCTCATGACATCAAGGAACTGCATGACACTCCTAAAAGTAAATAAAATATTCAGAGTATCTTAGGTTTAGTATATGCATATATAAAATATGTTTGTATAACTCTTTATAGTAAGCCAGTGACTAATTTAAATGTTGCCACTAAAATCTTATAAACTTGTAAATTTCATAATCAAACAAATATCTTATAAATCTTTGAAAACATATACACATGATTTACTTCAAGTTGTTACAAAAAGTCAAGCGTGGATTATTTATATATACAGATCGAAAGGAATTATTCAGTTTGAACGGCAATTTATGCCATCTTGTTGAAATTCTTATTTTGTTATTTACCAATTTAAAAGAAGAAAAGGAACTTGTGACAGTGTATTTCATTATAAACTGTTTAGTGGGATAAATTTAAGCAGAATTGTATATCTCCCATTGTTCTACTATGAAAGTGCTATAAGGCTTCTCGGTGATATTGCCTTTGATCATAGAATTAAGTTTTCTGTCTCAAACAGGTTTTATCAATCATATAATTAAGTTAAAACTGTTTCTTATTTCAGCACCCTAAGGCTTTTCTCCAGCCATTACATAATACTACTGATTAAATGAAAGAAATATAACTCCATAGTATAAATGGTTATTTAAACTTAAATTACCAAACACACCAAGACCAGGCTTACTATTAAATTGATTTTTCAAGTAATTGACATAGTTTCAAATTTATTTGTGCAGATGTGTCATTCTCTCTATCTCTCTCTTTTTCTGTTTATTTCTTTTTCTCTTCTCCACTTGAAATGATTTCTAGTTTGGGACACATTATTGGCAAGTAGTAACTAACCATGAAACTATTGCACCGATATTGGAAGCTTGATTTCAGTGTGCAAATAAAAGAGTCTTTTACAGTTCCTTAGATATGTCAGTGTTTATACTAAGTTACAAAATATTACAAGATTAGATTATGCAATCAAGTACTGGTAAAACTAGAAAAATAAATTTTAATTTCTTAAATTTTCTATACCTTACTTAAAGGCCTGGACCTAAATAGAATTTTGCAGAATCAGTTAATAGAATGATATAGAGAAAGAAATAGTGAAAATCCAATGAAAATTAGTAGACATAAAAACATGAGTTTGTATTAACTCTGCTTAGTCTCTGAAATATCAAAAGTGCCAAAGGGACATATCTGTATATCTGCCCATTTATGGACTATCCAGCCCACAAGCAAACAGGCAAGACCATTCTATATTACATTTAAATAATCGTTTCTAACATTATGTGTGACCATGAAGCCAGATCAATTTATATATGAGATAAATTGTTGTTGACATTGATTAATTTATTAAGGTATTCCTGGGAAAACATAGTGTCTTTATTTGCCTTTCTCAGAACCAGGTCTTGAGACCACATCTTGATTCTATGTAGTTCACTGTGAAGGTCAGCTCAGGTAGAAAAATCAGGTCATAGTACCAAAAAAAGGAAGGTAGCCTATAAAGGGTTGTTATCAGTCAAGTTATCACTAAGCATTTGGAGCCTAATCCCACTGAGAAAGTCCAGAAGCCAGAATAAAACATGTATTTACTAATTATCCTGCTTAAAGGGCAAGTGAGCTGAAGTATGTGTATTCTGTTTTTCTTTAGGCTTTGGTTGAGGTCTGCTTCTGAGGGAAGGATGTCAATTCTACAATATTTTCTGTGTGCAGAAAGTTTAGCAAAGTGTGTTTAGAGAAAGCACACAGGCTATCAGTAGAAAGTTGGATAGGTGTGCAATAAAAATGAGACAACATTGATTATAACTGGTCCCCAACTAATACTGAGTACCTTACATGCCTGGTTTAGAAGCAAGTATGAAAAAGAGTGTGAACTGTGACCCCGGAGATCAGAAGCCCATTAGCTCAGTAATGTTTCTAGGCTTCCAGTGGACTGAAGTATGTTGACATATTCCCTACAATGTTAAGGCCATGCTATAAATGGCATTTCCGACCACCAAGAAAGACATCATGCTTAGGAGAGTCTGTGTATGTTACAGGCGACTTATACATCATTCAGCATGCTATTGGCCCCCATTAACCAAATAATCCATAAAGCTGCTAGATTTACTGGAGACAAAGAAGTCTCTGTAACAATTCCAAGCTTCACAAAGACAGATCCTGCTGTGGCCAATGCTTAGTTCTAACCTGTTAACAGCGGAGAACAAAACTGAGCTACCGTATTCCAATATTATCCAGTATGTTGGCATGTTGAGTACACTGGACCCCTTCATCAAATAGAGGGCATTGATGTGTCATCACTAGAAGAGGTAATTTTTCTGGAAATAGATTCGACTTTCTGGATATAGATTTGACTTTCTAGCTGAAAATACCTATCTCAAAAGCACCATCATATGGATTTACATAATATTTTGTTCATCTCCATTTTATTCCTCAAAATATCAATTTTGTCCAGGGAACTCACAATAGAGAAAATAAAGTGAGGTAGTAAGACTAAGGTCAGATAATTTTAAAATATTTTACACAACTCTTTCCCCAAAGCAGCTTGCCTGATAGACTGGTCTACTGTGAACTCATTTATGGCACTGGCTGAGTGGTGACCACTATCACTGTTGAAGTGCTGTCCTGTGATGTAGTTTATGCTTGTTACCAGCATGTAGTTTATGATGTAGTTCATGCCTTTTTACCAGCAACCAATACAATGTGCCGTTTTCCCCATAGCCAGGATATGGAAATATATGAAAACAAAGATGTGGAAATGGGAGTGACCTCTACCTCTATTACTTCTAATTATAGGCATACACTAGCAAATAAAAAAGAAAAAAAAAGTCTTTTTATCTCCAATTGGTAAGATCTACCGGATGAGAGGAGCCTATAAGGTTTCCATTAAACTGGAAGCTTAGATCATCACCTGACCATTTTGAACAACCCTTGCCATTGAAACTACAGACAATTAAGCGAGTTACTGTACTAACTAGGTTGATTGTTATTTTCGGGAAGAAACAGAATGGTTACTACACAATAAAATCAAGAAGAGATATATTTGCAACCCAGAAGATTATCTGGGCCTTTGCTTTTTATCCCATGCTCACAGAAAAAAATTAATGAAAATCTAGTTATTGAAAACAGGCAGGATTGTCAAATCCCTTCAGGAAGAAAGTTTTAGATTACCTCTTCAAGTAAGAACCAATTGAGCTTTCCAACAAGGAGAAAAGAAACAAGTAGTGCACAATGAAGAAAGAAAATTATATTACAAATTATGACCACATGGCCAGTTGCAGGATTGAAGACGGTGGTAGCTAGGCTACCTGTTTTCTTTTTTATTATGTTATTCATAGATTTTACACAAACAATGATCCTTTTACGCATTTGTCTTGAATTAACAAGGTGATTATTTATCCTGAAACATACAATTCAATATTTAAGTAACAGTATTTCTAAGAATGATTGTGACTGAGCTACCAAAAATATAATTATCACTTATAGATTGATAAAATTAAATTTTGCGCTTTGTGTCTCCATTTTTAGGGAAAGTTTGAGTACATCTTCAGTTACACGAGAAATAATTGCTTCCGGTTTGGAAGAATAATAATGTGTTTGTATGTTTTACTTTATTCTGAAATTATGTGTGGTTAAAAGGGCTGGATATAAATGCTGGGTTGGCAAAGGGTTGGTTTGTGCCATGTCTGATTTTGATATGACATCATTCTGACCTTCTTCTTTGACCTATAATCTCTGCATCTCATAAGCGACGCCAGGAGTGACATTTTCCCAAATTCCCTTCCATATGTGATTCTAGTTCAGAGTTTTCAATGTGAGGTACTCTAATGAGATTCGGAGGGCAAAAGAGAAGAAAAAGATTATGCTCTAAAAAATATTTACAACCAGAAGCAAGGGTAAAAACAATTTATAGGGACTTCTTAGTGAGCTCCTGAGAAGCATCCATTTTAGAACTTCAGGTTAAGATATTTTGTGGTGACTTCCTTGCTCTATCATAACAGCTTTAATAACAGATTTTCGGAACTTTATGATGGTTTCTCTGACCTTTGTTTCCCTAGTGTTTCCAACAGTGGTGTAAGTCCTCGTCCTTATATTACATCTTTCAAATCTGCGAGGCATTTAGTGGCCTCTGTTTTCTTGGTCACATGTTGACTATTACACTTGGACTTTAAAAATACCCATCATTTTCCTCTGTCCATTTTCTGAGACATTTCTTTAAGTTACCTTGAAGTGTCATTTCCCAGTCATATCCTGATATCAATGAACAGTGGCTTTGTTAACTTTTCCTTGTCCCTCCCTGTCAACTGATACCTATATCTGCATCCTCACCTGATTTATTTTCTCATAATCTATCAAGAATCAGCAAGCAAACAACTAATAAAGTTCCATATTAGATCTCACCATACATATATGAATCTAATTTTCAAATACTGAATAACTGTTATTTAAATAACATGTGTCACTAACGAAGCAAATATGCACAGCAAGTATTACCAGATTGTTTTCAAACCTATTAAATCAGTATTTCATTTTTTACTTAAAAAACATTTAATGAAGATGTATTTTATGTTGGGAAATGAGCTGAAACATAAAGACATAACTGTAAATAAGACCTCTTTTCTCTTAAAGAGGATCACATTCTACTGGTAAAGAAACATCAAGGAAATCAGTGGGAAAAAACGTAACACTGTGAGTTTTAGACACCAGTGATAAGCACAGAGATAATTACGATTTGATACAAAGGAGTTAGCTGTATAAATCTGACATTTATGCATAATAGGCCAGTAGGCATATGCTACTTTAATAGGCTAGTCTAGATATTCACTAAGCCATCATTTTCCTAATAGTTTCAATTCCTAACCGTTTCAATTACCATGAAGGGTTAAGTGTTGTCAGCGATCTTTTCTTTAGGCTAATTTAGATGCCCTCATGATTTTCTGTATATATATGACTTGGAGATTAGAAAACAATGATTCAGCGCATATTCAGATTAGCAACTCAAATAGATTTGCGTACATTAGCTGAACACCTACGTCTGTGAATAGTTTTATCTATCTCTCTTCAGCAATACTATAGTATCTTCAGGATGGATTTTTGTATTTTAGCTTCCCTTGTTGCCTCTGAATTTATCAACGAAACAACAAGTTATTCATTAAAGAGAGTCAATCAGATAATTTACCAGGCCAAAATAATTTGTAGATAGTTCATGGCATATGAAGTAAAGTTAAATTCTCCACCTGAGCTTATAGAGACTTCATAATCTGCCTACTTCCTCTTTTCTCATTCTTATGTAGTATTTTCGATTCATACTATTTTTTTTTTCTCAATTCCTGGAGCACACCATGCTCTTTCTATTTCATGCTTCACATTTATTTTTTTTTTCACTTAGTTAAAATGCTTTTTCCCTTGATCTAGCAATGGCCAGTTTATACATATTCTTTAGCTTTCAAATTAAATGCCACCATAGAAATAATTTTCTAACCAACCAGCCAAACAGCCTCACTCTTCCTTCCTTGGTGCATTTACTCTTTACACAGTATTCATGTATTTTCTTTCTAGTCCTTCTCATAATCTAGAATTACTTTATCATAGAAAGAACGTTCTTGCTCACCACTCAACCCCTATTGTCTGGCACAAAGTAAGTACTCAGACACATGTTGGATGAATGAATAAATAAATGAATAACTAGAAGGTAAAGATGTGTGACAATATAAACAACATAGACCTTTCTACATATACTCAACATGTGACAGACATGGAAGTACCCCCACAGGATTTTCTTTCAAAAAGGAGCTTCATAAGAGAATTGCAGTTAAATGGTAATCCCCGTTTGCACTTCTCTTAGCATCAATTCTAGCATTTGAACCAAGGCTATGCTGTCTCCAAACAGCTCTAAAAAAAAACTGAAAATGGTAGGCTACTGGCAGCACACAATTTCAGCCCAATGCCATCCTCCTCTAATGGGCAACATTTGCACTTGAACTCCACATTAGAATGGCTGGGACTTTCTCAGAGCTGTTCTAGATTCTGGGCTTCTCTGAAATATTCTTTTCTTCTCTCCTTTTGTAGGTAGCAGACCTGCACCACAGCCTGAAGCTCTTCCTGTCTATACATTCTCTTTCAACTTTGTCTGGCACAGGCTTGACTCACAATAAATCACTTGCAATTCTAACTTTATCTTGAACTGTGGTTTTTTAAAAAAAACTGACACAGTAGTTGTGTCAGAAGTGGTCTCAGAAATCGACAATATGATGAGGCTTAGAGATTGGACCACTTGCCAACTGGCTGATGGAGTACGTGGGATCTGAATAGTTCCTAGCACAAAGTAGTAGTCCAAAGATTCAAAATTCTTTAGGCTGTGATTTGGAAAAAAATATCGCAATGAAGTAACCTGCCTTTGCCACTAAATCCAGATTCAGGCATTTTTTTAGCTATAGAGGGAAATAACTGTAAATATATTAAAGATGTCTCACTTTAACTAAAGTGTGTTGATTCTTTTCAGAGGGACAATAAGAAATTGAAGGTGATTATCAAAAGTAAAAGTGATTTTTGAGTGACAAAGAGACACTTTGCAGCACATAAAGAGGCCTTTATCTTTTCTAGCAGAAGTGTGGACACCAGTGATGGGCTTACTAAGAATTTGATAGTTATGGCTGAAAACCATAAAAGATGATTGAATTATCAGCCAAGGCAAATCTGTTATGCCAAGGTCAGGGCCCTGGTAGAGAAAGTCTGGGCTTCTCACACATAAGATGAATACATTTGGGCAGATTCCAATAAGAGTATGGCTCTGCCGATTTCTTTAATTCTCAGAGCCCAAAAAGCAAGTGCACCCCTTGCTAATAAGAATTAGCATTTCCCGGCCGAGCACGGTGGCTCACGCCTGTAATCCCAGCACTTTGGGAGTCCGAGGCGGGCAGATCACGAGGTCAGGAAATCGAGACCATCCTGGCTAACACGGTGAAACCCCGTCTCTACTAAAAAAAATACAAAAAATTAGCCAGGCGTGGTGGCGGGCGCCTGTAGTCCCAGCTACTCAGGAGGCTGAGGCAGGAGAATGGCGTGAACCCGGGAGGCAGAGCTTGCAGTGAGCCGAGATTGCACCACTGCACTCCAGTCTGGGCGACAGAGCGTGACTCCGTCTCAAAAAAAAAAAAAAAAAAAATTAGCATTTCCCCTGTGTGAAAATACACTTCAGGGGAGACGTCTCTTGCTCAAGGCATGATTTCTCTCACCTCTACTCCTAGATTGCAGGCTTCTGACTTCCAGGTCCACTAATATTAAATCAAAGCATATGCAAGCTGGAGATGTGCTGGGAATAATGAGGAAAAAAAAAGGCTTTATATCCCAGTGTTGCTAGCAAGTGCAAGTAGGAACCTATGCAGTATCAGTGGGATTGGATTTGGGGATATCAGTCGGCTTGATCATTGGGGTAAGAACAGGAAACCAAATGAGCAAGAGTTCATTAGTCTGAGAATACTAATTTGGCCACATGGTTGCAAGTTAACTACATTAGGTTCCTTTCTTCTATTCTAAATAGGCCAGAGGTTCATCCTGAGAAGAATAGATGTGTATTCCAGATGTGGATTTGCCTTTCCTGCTTATCAGATCCTCAGCCAGCAGCACTATTCAGGTTCTTACGGAATGTTTTATCTATAGATATAGAATACCATACCGTAATATAGCATTTAAATAGCAGACATGCTTCATAGCAAAGGAGTTATCACACCATCCAGAAGTAGTCGACCAGATATGGGATAGGAGTGATCTTCTGAAGGAGCTGATAAAGCACCAGCCTTGCAGCAATACTGTACTCTGTGAGTGCCATTCTCTAGGACGCAGTCTACCCACAGAATCAGAATCGACTGCATGGGACAGCACTGCCAATTGTAAGACTACATAGGGGTGACAACAAAGGGATGTAAACGCACTCACACAAATGCGCACACACACAAAGTAGAGTCCTAAGTGGAATAAAATAATGTTTAAATGGTTAAGGTAGCACATACCAAGTGAGAAGCTACTGGTGTCATTTTTCAGAAGATAATTCAGACAGTTTATACTTAAATTGATTAAAAATTAAGTTCTTCAGTCTAACTAGGCAGATTTCAACTGTTCAATAATGACAGGTGGCTACCGACTTCCATATTAGACAGAGAAGAAAGTGCTACTGGATAGTGCTGATAGAGAAGGGTAGAAATGAACAATAATGATAAACGAACATAGAGAAAATATTTTTGCAAACATTCTCAAAATCCTAAAGATTATAAAGATTATTAATAGTAGATACAAATTATATTAGCTAAATCAAAGAAAATCATAGTGATTTCAAAGTGACAATTTTTAAAATTTAAAAATGAAAATAAAATGCTCCATGTTCTGTAGTGTTTAATATTTATCTTTTACAGCGTCAATATTTGGTAGTGTTATTCAGTTGTTGGCATATGCAATACCTCATCATTTTACTTCTCTTCTACTCTCTCAGTTGTGTAGTCTGTCTCTCTCCAAGACGTTCCTTATTCCTTTTTCTCCCTAATTGTCTGTTTCTTTTTCTCTTTATAGCCTCTCTCGCAGTCTCATCAGCAGTGCAGTTTTGAGCAAAGTGTCAAAGCTGTCTAAACCTCAGTTCCTACATCAATGAAATGGAGTTGACAGTAACGTTCATGATATTTTGATTAAACTTAAAGTATTGGCATTTTTTGCTGGGTATCTTATTAATAAAGAGTTAGGATCTTGACCCACACAAAAGACATCAATGAAGATCATAGAGAAATTAACATTTTTGAGGCATTAATGATTGTTGGTGGGACTTTTCCTAAAAGAAAATTTAACTTTTCTGGTCTTATTTATTCAGAGATAAAAATACTCAGGGAGAAAAAAAAATTATATGAATTTTTAAATCATACACTTTTTGACGAGTACAGCACATCCTAGAGAAAATGCCTGATACATTTCTTAGGAGATGTAAAGCTAGGATGCATAGGTAAGATCTGGGCCACAGTACTGGATTGTATGGCCACAATAGAGAATAGAGTGGCAGTCATAACTTGCGGTTGTGCATTGTGGGGAACATTTTGTTAAAACATAAAGAGATTGTGGTTCAATAGACTATACTAAATCTTTAATGTTTTTCCTCTTTAGTCTTTATGTCTTGTTTCTTACTAATACATAGTTGCAAATAGAGCTTTCATTTTTTCATCTAAATTTGCTAGCATAAAAAATTTAAAAACTAAAACAGATGATGTTGGATATGACAATTATTTCACTGTACTTGAGGAATTTACTTAAAATAGTCAATCTCGGTTGACATTCATGAAAACCACTAAGGCATTTGCTTGGGTATTGAATGACTACTGAAGTGAACATGGCCTGGGAATTTTGATCATCATTCATTTGTATTGCTTTCTCATGGTCAAAAATGGTACCAATAAATATGATAATTTTTGCAATCTACAAAGAAGTTATTGTATTAATTTTCAGATAACACTTGAGGCTCCTTCAAGCTCGATGATTATGCAATAATATAAACATTACAGATTTTATGGTATGCATTTTAATCATAAAGTGAAACTTGGTGTGCTAGGAAAAATTTCCAGTTTCTAAATGAGATAATTCATGAAAATTAATTTTATTAAAAGGTAAGCTCTAACACAGTTTTCTTATAGACTAGTATTTCTCATATATATCTGTGTTAATACATAATATTACATAAATATAAATTTTCCTGAGGGAAAAATGCTATTATAGATAACTTTCTGTTTATGATTATTACACCAGTATGCTTAGTGGATCTCACAAAAACAACACCTTATTTCAGATTGCACTCTCAATGTGCTAAAGAATGTTTTATTCCCATGTGATTTGTTCAAAGAATGTTAACAATGAATAATAACAAAAACATACATATTCTGATTACAATAAGGAATATTAGTAGGCTTGAATCAAATATTAATACTACAATTAACTACTAAAATAGGTTGTAACTTGCTCAAATAAATTTGCTCTTAAGTAACTTTTATGTAGAAAATTTGAAATGCTGAATAAAACATAAAATAAACTGAGTTTTCAGAAGAAACCTCTCTCTTATACAATTAAATTTAGTACAAAATAGCATTGTATTTTGTTGTGTTTAAATGAGAATATTTGCTTCAAAATTCTGAGAAACTTGCATATACAACATATATATTAGCTAATGATATATTCCCATGACAAATATTTACATACAGCCATCAGTATGAAATATAGAAATTAAGGATACCTAATGGCAGTACTTTTTGTTTCTTCTTATGTTATAGACTTCTTACTAAATTGTACAAGCTATTAGTAGTATATGTGGATGACTGAATACATTATTCATAGAGTGATATGCAATCATACTTTTCTCACTGAGGAAATAGGTTATCCTCTATGACCGGGAACATTTTAATAGAGTTTAAGCTTTGCTGAAAGTAGGATATATACTATTGCATTGTAGTTTAAATATAATTTCTATAAACTAAAATATTTAATAATGCTTCCAGTGAGAAGACATTATATTATTTATTCCCTTCCCATACAATTATTAAATTCATACTATATCCAGGAATTTTGTTGTTTACCAGTTATAAGGTAGTAAACAAAACAGATACAATGGCTTATTTTATGTTTCAACTTGACTGTGATGTCCTGTAGTGGTTAATTTTAGGTGTTAACTTGACTGGATTAAGGGTTGCCCAGATAGCATCCCTTAAAACATTATTTCTGGGTGTGTCTGCAAGGGTGTTTCTAGAGAAAATTAGCATTTGAATAAGTAGAATAAATAAAGATCTCTTCCCACCAACAGAGTTAGACATTATTCAATTGACTAAAGTCCTGGATACAGCAATTAGACAGAAGAAGGGCACATTTTCTATCTCTTTTGGTGCTGGACATCCTTCTTCTCCTGGGAGAAGTTCTCACACATGGGAACTTCAAGTGCTTAAGCATTTGAATTATGAGACTTACGCCATGTCTCCTCTCATTCTCAGGGCTTCAGATCTGGGCTGAATTACAGCACTGACTTTCTTGGTTCTCCAGCTTCCAGATGGCAGACTGTGGGACTCCTTGACCTCTGTAATTTCATGAGCCAATTCCCATAATACATCTTCTCATATCTATATGTATATATCTTGTTGGTTCTGTTTCTCTGGAGAATCCTGACTAATCCAGATTACATTTCCATAGACATCTCTATGGGTGGGGAAATAATACTCCAGAACAGGGATTCAGCAAACTACGGCCCGTGAGCCAAATCTAGCCCAGCAACTTGTTTTTGTAAATTTAGTTTTCTTTTAGCTCAGTTACTCAAATTCATTCACGTTTTATCTAAGGCTGTTTCAACTTCAACAGCAGGGTTGAATCAGAGCCAAATGCTGTATGTTTCCCAAACCTATACAATATATGATCTAGATTTTATTTTATTTTATTTATTTATTTATTTTTGAGACAGAGCCTCACTCTGTCACCAGGCTAGAGTGCAGTGTCACATTCTTGGCTCACTGCAACCTCCACCTTCCAAGTTCAAAAGATTCTCCCGCCTCAGCCTCCCAAGTAGCTGGGACTATAGGCGCAAGCCACCACACCCAGCTAATTTTTGTATTTTTAGTAGAGACGGGGTTTCACCATGTTGGCCAGGATGGTCTCGATCTCCTGACTTTGTGTTCCGCCCTCCTCGGCCTCCCAAAGTGCTGGGATTACAGGCATGAGCCACTGCGCCCAGCCTATCTAGCTTTTTAATGAAAAAGTCTGCCAACCTTTATTCCAGAATATAAAGCAAATTTCAAAATAATTATCTGTCAATATTTTATTAAACTTAACAAAAATTCTAAAATGTAGAAAAGATAGCAAAATGTGTAGGAAACCCCATATAACAATTATTGCAATATAGAGAAAAAATTTAATTTAGTCAAATTATTAATAATTCACAAATAATATATTTATAAATAATAAAAATAAATGATTTTTATTTGATGCAGTCAATTAATAAATGGCAGCTATAATCTTAAGCAAGACACACCTATCAATGCATATTAGACTAGTTTAAAAACTATATTAAATATATAATATATATTTTATAAATATTACATATATTAATATATAAGATGTTATTTTATATTTATTAAATATATAAAAATATATTCCCATCTAAGAACAAGACAAAATAATAAACAAAAACAAACAGAAATTACAGTGTCAAAATACACATTTTCAATGGAAATCATTAAGATGCTCATAATCTATGCACATTTTTTTAAATTACATATATATTTTCTCTATATATTTATCTTTTTGTTGGGTGGATAATTAGCTGTTTTGTAATAGTTTTTATTTATTGGCAGCTCATACTTGGCATCTGTTTTGGTTTGACCTTATCTGTATCCTACCAGCCATAAAATTTTTAGTACCACCCCTGGTTTTATGGTTATTCAGTAAGTGTTACATAGTTATTATTTTAAAAACTCAATATTAGAAATAGGAATGTCTGTCCTATTTCAGGAAAAAAAATATTTGTGGGTGAAAAGCAAATCCTTTATGGTAAATTTTTGTGATTTCAAATTAAAAAGTGATGTATCTAAACTCACCTATTATAATCTCATAGAATCCACGTAACTGCCTCATGTAACTTTCATAACAATCTCATGACATCATTATAATGTCATTATTCTAATTTTAATGATCAAAAAACAAAATAGAGCAATTAAATTAGTTGGAAAAACCAGTTGCAAGATACAACTAACACAGTTGTCTAGGTCTACTTAGCTCATAGATGTATGATTATACCCACAATATTAATAATATTACACCATTTGAAAGCTACTCTAACTCTTCTATCATCTCTTTTTTTCCTGTTTTAAGAATATATTTTGTAACTTACATGATAAATTTCCAAGAACATATTATCTTGTCCTCATTTGGTTATTATCTGAGAATGATAATATCCATTAGAGATCTCAAATAATTACAATTTTCAAATGGAGACAATAATGCACTGTGATGTGAATATTCCAGAAGGACCAGGATTAATTGCACATTTCCTCAAACTTGTTTGAATTTTTGTATTCTCTCTTGGGATAAGAGAAATAAGAGGTAATGTTATAAGACTATATCTAAAAGATTAAGAATTCCACAAAGTGGTTATTCATATGAAATGCATTAATTTAAAAAGTCTTATTAGTTTAAATGTTACTGATTTCTTTTCTCTGAGTTTTTTGAAGAATCATGTAAAGTTCCTAAATCTTTACCAACTTCTGCCTAAGGACAGCAGAATTACAATGACATAAATGCAAACTCAAGAAGGTTATTACCATAATATTCTACTCTTTGCACTCCTCACTGAACTATAGAATAAATTCAATCTCTCATTATTCAGAATGACCAACCAGCTATACTTTCTTTGAAAAAGATGATCAGGTTATACAATGAAAAGCTATTTTACTACTTTTGTAAAGAAACTCTTTGGAAACCCTTGCATCATATTTCTATACGGAAAGTGACTACTGGCACTGTTTGTATATCACCAATTTCAGCTTCACATTCCCAGGCTGATGACATTAACAGTTACCTTTCCACTTCAGAAACCTGGGGATTGGGTTTACCATGTTCATTCAACTGAGAAAATGTGGAAACCAATGTGTAATTTTCACTAAAAAGGTGAATCCAAACAAATAAAATGAATAAAAATGACTAGCAGCAAGATTCCCACCCTGGAAAATTACTTTGACACAAGCCCAAATAGAATCTATATTCATAATTTCTAAAGAAAGTGGAGTTTGAAAGTATACTGCTTTATTGAAAGTCATCTCTTCATAGTCCATATTTCCATTGTACAGCATTAGTAAAATCTATATCCTGGCCTCCATCTTTGGACAATTTAATATTACTATTTTCTGAAATATTAAAATTGTATTTCTCTATTTATCTGCCTATCATCTATCAATCAATCTTCCAATTTACATTTTATTTCTATTACTTGTTCTGAAATATGATAAGAAGTAATCTCATCTGACTGACACAGGAAAGCTATATAGGAGACAACTTCTAATAAAAGAAAAGCACAAAGAGTAAGTGACTAATTTCAAAATATTTTAGAAATGTAAACCTTAAGCCATTTACTTTTTAAAATTTTTTTTGAGATAAACTGCTGATTAATTTATTAAACACTAATGACCTTAGTGCCATATATATTTGGATTTACTTATCAAGTGTTAATAATATTAGACTATTGAGATAAGTGGGCACACAATTTAACTATACATTTCATTAACTGAGCTAAGCACTGTCCATTCAGCTCTTATATTGCCTCAGGCACTGATAGAAACACATTAGATTATCACATCAACCTTACTAAATATGCACTATTATAATCTCTTATTTTTTAGTTGATAAATTATTACACAGAGGTTCACATTTTGCCCAACATCACAAAATTTGTAAGTAGCAGAGCAGGTATTTGAACCCAGGTAGTCTAATTCCATAATAAGCTTATTTTGCCACTATAGAACAACTGCCTCTTTCTATAAATAGCAATGGCATAAGATGAGGTGTGCCATTTATTTCTCAACCAAAAGCTTAAAGTATATACATCCCAAAGCTCTCAGGATAAATCATATTATTATTATTTCATTTATCAAAAAATTATTGAATATCTACTCTGCAATAGGAATTATAAGTGTCAAGGACATAGCAGCGTATAAGACAATGCTTCACTCCTCATAGATCCTGAGTTTGTGGCTCATGTTCTCTAACTTTATGTTTAGCCAAACCACCATCCCAATTGAACTATTCCAATTCCAATTTTATCTGCTGCCATCCAGGCACTATAGAAAATTCTAATACAATAGTGTTTGTAAAAATCGCCATCTACAAAGATTACAGAGACAAGGTCATGGACATGAGAAAATTTACAACATCATCCATGGACATGCCTTGAATATAAAAGAGAAAAAACAATTTAAGATTAAAAAAAATTCAAATGTATTTTGGCAACCTTTGCATAGAAGGACATAATTTTTCATTTTGTTCAATTACATCTGATTTTGTCAGAATCCTTTGCTGCAGTGGAAAGAATATCAAAGAGAAACAACATCAGAGATAAAATAAGTCTGCTTAAACTTGAGAGTTTTCCCCCCACTTCTGGGATTTGGGGCAGTTACAACTAATGTCTTTTGTTTATGATTTTTTGGTTTAATTTTTAAGTTCTATTTTAAGACTTGCTTCTTCCTTTAGAAACTTAAAGGAAGCAATATGATAGGTATTAAAATACTCTGGATAGAATAAATATGAATAAAGTAAATCTAAGTAATTGGTTAAATTTTACTTTACCAAAATAGGTCAGTTATAAGTATGATTGGTACAAAGTAATTATTCTCACTTATTTTATTTTTTTAATATGCTCATTGGAGAAATTTAGACCATTATGTGATTTAAATAAGATTATTTATTTTTCAGTTAGCTTAACTTACTTTTCAAATGTTTTAAGTTTTAGTCAATTATTTCAGTTTTGTTCTTTCTGCTCAAACTTGGAAAGCCACAGAAGCACAACACTGAGGCAGATAGATCATGTTTCTCATCTCCCTTGTCCCTAGACACAGTCACATGACTAAATCTGGCCACTGGAACGAGGCAGATTAGAGCATAGTACTCCCAGTCCTAGTCATTAAATCATCTCACAGTAGCCACAAACAAAACTTAACAGCTTCAAATAAGTGGACCTATTAAATAGACTATGGTAAATTCAAGGGCAGCATGTACAATATGTCTATTTAATAATAATATTGATCACAGTATGCAAATATAGTTATGTAAGTAGATAGGAACCAAATCAGAAGGGGCAAGCAAATACAGCTTCAAATGAAACATACAGATACTCACATTGGAATTAATCAAGAAAACAACCTGACCCACAGACAATGAAGTAAAGCAAGATAGGACAACCACCCACTTGGGAGCAACATCCCTGACCAGGGAAGTGGTGAGTGAATGCGTGACCCTGGGAAACCATGCTTCTCCCAGAGATCTTTGTAACCCTCAAGTCAGGAGATTTCCTATTGAACCCACTCCACCAGGTACTTCAGTCTTCAGTCTGACAGACAGAGCTACATGGAATCTCCACACATGCAGCTACTCAGGCATGTGTGGAGACCCTGTAGCCTTAGATACTCTGACTTTCTGACAGAAGTAGCTGCAGCTCCATCAAAGTGGAAGGTTAGACTCATATACATATCCCTAGGAAAGATACTGAATCCACGGGATGAGCAGCAACAGGCCGCAGGCCCCGCTTCCACAGTACCTCACAAGGTAAGACCCACTGGCTTGGAATTCCAGCTAACTACCAGTATCGGCATTGCACTACTCTAAGAAGGAGCTCCTTTGGGGGTGGGGGGTGGTCGAGCTGTCATCTTGGCTGTTTGGGTGTCTTAGCTGTTCCAGCCTTCAGGCTTTGGAGAGTCTAAGCCGACCCAGGGCAAAAGGCATACCCTAGTACAGCACAGCTGCTCTACCAAAATGTAGGCTGACTGCTGCTCTAAGTGAGTGTTCAATCCCATTCCTCCTCAATGGGCAAGAACTCCCAACTGGGGCCTCCAGCCACCCCCACCAAGGTCTCTAGCTAACAGAGATCTGAATTCCCCATAGGACAGCACTGCAAGAGGGAGAGGCAGGCTGCCATCTTTGCTGTTTGGGTGACTTAGTATTTCCAGCCTTTGGGCTTCAGAATGTCTGAAACAATAGGCGGGGGGAGCTGAAGTGGACCCCCAGCACAGCATGGCTGCTCTACCAACATGTGGCTAGACTGTTTTTTAAAGTGAGTCTCAATCCCATTCTTTCTCCCTGGGCAGGACCTCCCAGCTGGGGTCTCCAGTCACTTCCTACAGGTGCTTTGGGCTGGCAACAGGTTTGTGCCTCCCTGGGACAAAGCTCCAGAGGGAGGGATAGGCTGCCATTTTGTTGTTTCACAGCTTTCACTGGTGACATCTCCAGGTTCTGAGAAATCTGAGGTGACTAGGGACTGGAGCAGACCCAAGCAGTTATATGGAAAAGTGGCCAGACTGTTATGTGGGTACCCATTCCCATGTTTTCTCACTGGGCAAGTCCTCCAGGCCTGAGCCTCCAGCCACCCCCTGCCAGAGCTATCAAACCTGGACAGAGCCTTCAGGGGCAACTGAAAACCTCTCTGCAACAGTCTCTGCAAGGGAACTGACCATGCTACCCATGGACTAATCAAGGATCAAAGACCATAAGTGCCTTATCCACACCTCCAACAAGCTGCAGTCAACCCAAGGAAAGGAGGCCAGTCCGTCTCCCATAAGTCCCACACATCGCCAACTGCTCATCACCAGACAAGGAGCCCCTGGCTTGTGCACACAGCACAAACCCATCATCTGGGGCTGAATGCACTGAGGAGGTGCTGACCTGCATCTCTCTGGGATATAGCTCCCAAGAGTTAAGCAAATAAGCCTTGGCCACAACCACTGCTGAGATATCTTCCTCTGCTGCCTCTTATTTAGGGAAGGAACACAAACACCGATATTGCCCCAGAAGTGCAGTGAGCAGGCCAAGAATGCCAAGTCATAAACTACAGCCAGCAATTAAGGGGTAGAGAAACCCACACTTTCAAAACACAGAGAGGGAACATGGTTGGAAATGTGAAGAAACATAGGGGAGCCACACAACCGAGCAGTAGTCTACCTAAGAGGTCACCTGCTGAATCAAACCCCAAAGCTTCAATACCAAAAATACCTCACCAATATATCCACCTCTGAAACCAGAGTCAAAAAGTCAGCTTCAAATAAAGATCCTACACAATGCCTTGGCCAGGTGAAAATATCCAGAAAATAAGTCTATTGATTGTACTCAATCTACACTGCAGTTAAAGGAACACCCACATGGAACAATGAGAAAGAACCAATGCAAGAACTCTAGTAACTCAAATGGCCAAAGTGCCACAGGTCCTCCAAATGACTGCGCCTTAACCAGGCCAAACTGGCTGTAATGACAGAAGTAGAATTCTAAATATGGATAGGACCAAAGATCATTGAGATTCAGGAGGATGGCAAAACCCAATCCAAGGAAAATAAGAATCATAATATAGTGATACAAGAGCTGAAGGACAATATAGCCAGTATAAAAAAGAACCTAACGGGTCTGACAGGGCTGAATAACATAATATAAGAATTTCACAATGCAATCACAAGTATTAACAGTAAGATGAAACAAGCTGAAGAAAGAATCTCAGAACTTGAAGACTGATTATCTGAAGTAAGACACCAGACAAAAATAAGGAAAAAAGAATAAAAATGAATGAACAAAACCTCCAACAAGTATGGGATTATGCAAAGAGGCCAAATCTATAAATCACTGGCATCCCTGAAAATGAGGAGGAGAAGGCAAACAACTTGAAAAATATGTTTCAGGATATATCCCATAAAAACTTCCCCAACCTTGCTAGAGAGGCCAACAGTCAAATTCAGGAAACAGAGGACTCCCAAATAGTCTATATGAAAAGACCATCCCCTAGACACATAATCATCAGATTTTCCAAGGCTGAAATTAATGAAAGAACGTAAAAGGCAGCTAGAGAGAAAGAACAAGTCACTACAAAGGGAACCCCATCCAGCTAACAGCAGTCCTCTTAGCTGGAACCCTACAAGCCAGAAGAGATTGGGGGCCTATATTTAACATTCTTAAAGAAAAAAAATCTTCATCCTAGAATTTCATATCCAGCTAAACTAAGCTTCCCAAGTGAAGGAGAAATAAAATCCTTTTCAGATAAGCAAATATTGAGAGACTTTATTCCCAACAACCGCCTTACAAGAGATCTTGAATGAAGCACTAAATATAGAAAGGAAAGACCACTACTAGCTAATACAAAAACACACTTAAACACACAGACAAGTGTCACTGTAAAGCAATCACGCAAACAAGCCAACATAATAACCAGCTAATAGCACAATGACAGGATCAAATCCACACATATCAATACTAACCTAGAGGGTAAACTGGCTAAATTCCCCACTTAAAAGGCACAGAATGGCAAGCTGGATTAAAAAAGCAAGGCCCATTGGTAAGATATCTTCAAGAGACCCATCTCACCCATAATGACACATGGGATCAAAATAAGCAAGTGGAAAAAAAAAATCTACTAAGCAAACGAAAAACAGAAAAAAACAGGGGTTGCAATCCTAATTTCAGACACAACACATTTGAAACCAACAAAAGAAGACAAAGAAGGACATTACATAATGGTAAAGGATTCAATTCAACAAGAAGGCCTAACTATTCTAAATATATGTGCACCCTACACAGGAGCACCCAGATTCATAAAGCAAGTTCTTGGAGACCTACAAAGAGACTTACACTCCCACACAATAATAGTGGGAGACTTCAATACTTTACTGACAGTATTAGAAAGATTTTTGAGGCCAAAAATTAACAGATATTCAAGACCTAAACTCAGCATTACACCAAATAGAGTTGATAGGCGTTCACCCAAAACCAACAGAATATACATTTTTCTCATGTCTACATGACACATACTCTAAAAGCAACCACATGATTGGACATAAAACAATCCTTGACAAAAGTAAAAGTACCAACATCATACCAAACACACTCTTGGACAACAGCTCAATAAAAATCAAAGTCAACACAAAGAAAATTGTTCAAAACCATAAAATTACATGGAAATTAAATAACATGGTCTTGCATAACTTTTGGATAAATAATAAAATTAAGGCAGAAATCAAGAAGTTCTTTGAAAATAATGAGAGCAAAGATACAACTTATCAGAATATCTGGGACACGGCTAATGCAGTGTGAAAGGAAATTCATAGCACTGATGCCCATATCAAAAAGTAAGAAAGTTTTCACATTAACAACCTAACTTTGCAACTGAAAGAATTAGAGAAACAAGAAAAAATCAACCCCAAAGCTAGCAAAAGATGAGAAATAACAAAAATTAGAGCTGAACTGAAGGAAATCGAGACATTTTAGGTTTTAGAAAACCTAGAAGAGACAGATAAATTCTGGGACAAATACACCCTCATAAGACTGAGTCAGGAATAAATTGATTCCCTGGACAGACAAATAATATGCTCTGAAATTGTATCAGTAATAAATAGCCTACCAACCAGAAAAAGCACAGGACCTGATGGATTCACAGCTGAATTCTACTCGGTGTACAAAGAAAAGCTGGTTTAATTCCTACAGAAACTATTTCACAAAAAGGAGTTGGGACTTCTTTCCAACTCACTTTACGAGGCCAGCATCATCTTGATAACAAAACCTGGCAGAGACACAACAAAAAAAGAATACTTCAGGCCAATATTCTTGGTGAACATTGATGCAAAAATCCTTGACAAAATACTTGCAAACTGAATCCAGCAACATATCAAAAAGCTAATCCATCATGAGCAAGTCAGCTTCATCCCCAGGAGGTAAGGTTTTGTTCTACATATGAAAATCAACAAATGTGATTCATCAAATAAACAGAACTAAAGACAATAACCACTTGATTACCTCAATAGATGCAGAAAAGGCTTTTGAAAAATTCAACATTCCTTGATGTTAATAACTCTCAATAAACTAGGTATTGAAGGAACATACCTAAAAATGATAAGAGTCATCTATGACAAAACCACAGCCAACATTATACTGAATGGGCCAAAGCTAGAAGCCTTCCCCTTGAAAACTGGCAGAAGACTAGGATGCCCTCTCTCACGATTTCTATTTAGCATATTATTCGAAATCCTAGCCAGAGCAATCAGGCAAGATAAAAAAAAATAAAGGGCATCCAAATAGGGGGAGAGGAAGTCAAACTGTCTTTACTTTGCAGATGACAAATTCTTTATCTAGAAAACCTCATACTTTTGGCCCAAAAGGTCCTTCAGCTGATAAACAACTTCAGCAAAGTTTTAGGATACAAAATCAATGTACAAAAAGCACTAGCATTCCTGTATACCAACAACAACCAAACTGAGAGCCAAATTAGAATGGCAAATCCAAATGACAGTTGCCATACAAACAAAATGAAATACAGCTAACTAGGGAAGTGAAAGATCTCTACAATGAGAATTATAAAACAACACTCAAATAAATCAGAGAACAAAAAACAAATTTAAAAAATCCTATGCTCATGGATAGGAAGAATTAGCATCATTAAAATGACTATACGACCGAAAGCAATTTACAGATTCAGTGATATTAGTATCAAACCACCAACAACATTCTTTACAGAACTAGAAAAATATACTTTAAAACATACATGGAACCAAAAAAACAGCCCAAATAGCCAAGGTGATCCTAAACAAAAAGAACAAAGCTGGAGGAATCACATTACCTGACTTAGAATTATACTAAAAGGATACAGTGACCAAAACAACATGGTACTTGTACAAAAACAGGCACATAGACCAATGAAACAGAATAGAGAGACTAGAAACGAGGCAGCATATCTATGATCATCTTATCTTTGACAAAGCTGACAAAAACAAACAATGGGGAAATGACACCCTATTCAATAAATAGTACTGGGATAACTGGCTAGCCATATGCAGAAGATTAAAGCTGGACCCTTTCCTTATACTATATACAAATGTCAACTCAAGACGGATTATGGACTTAAATGTAAAACACAAATTATAAAAACCCTGGAAGACAACCTATGGAATACCATCCTGAACATAGAAACAGGCAAAGATTTCATGACAAAGACACCAAAAGTAATCACCACAAAAGCAAAAATTGGCAAATGGAATCTAAATAATTTAAGAGCTTCCGCACAGCAAGAGAAACTATTAACAGGGTAAACACATAATCTACAGAATGGAAGAAAATATTTGCAAACTATGCATCTGACAAAGTTCTAATATCAGCATCTATAAGGAACTTAAGCAAATTTACAAGAGAAAAAAACTCATTCAAAAGTGGGCAAAGCGCATTAACTGACACTTCTCAAAAGAAGACATGCATGCGGCCAATAAACATATAAAAAAAAGCTCAATATAATTGATTATTAGAGAAATGCAAATTAAAACCACAATGAGATACTGTATTAGTCTGTGTTCACACTGCTGATAAAGACATACCTGAGGTGGGCCAGGTGCGGTGGCTCACACCTGTAATCCCAGCACTTTGGGAGGCCAAGGGGGGCGGATCACAAAGTCAGGAGATCGAGACCATCCTGGCTAACACAGTGAAACCCCATCTCTATTAAAAATACAAAAAAATTAGCCAGGCATGGTGGTGGGCACCTGTAGTCCCTGCTACTCAGGAGGCTGAGGCAGGAGAATGGCATGAACCCAGGAGGCAGAGCTTGCAGTGAGCTGAGATCGTGCCACTGCCCTCCAGCCTGGGCAACAGAGTGAGACTCCATCTCAAAAAAAAAAAAAAAAAAAAAAGACATACCTGAGGTACAAAAGAAAAAGAGGTTTAATTAGGCTTACAGTTCCACATAGCTGGGGAGGCCTCAGAATTATGGCAGGAGGTGAAAGGCACTTCTTAGATGGCAGCAGCAAGAGAAAATGAGAAAGATGCAGAAGTGGAAACTCCTTATAAACCCATCAGATCTCATGAGACTTATTCTGTATCACAAGAGTAGCACAGGAAAGACTGGACCCCGTTATTCAATTACCTCCCCCAGGGTCCCTCCCACAACACATGGGAATTCTGGGAGATACAATTCAAGTTGAGATTTCAGTGAGGACACAGCCAAACCATATCATTCTACCCATGGCCCCTCCAAATCCCATGTCCTTATGTTTCAATACCAATCATGCCTTCCCAACAGTTCACTAAAGTCTTAACTCATTTCAGCATTAACCCAAAAGTCCACAGTCCAAAGTTTCATCTGAGACAAGGCAAGTCCCTTCCACCTATGAGCCTGTAAAATCAAAAGCAAGCTAGGTACTTCCTAGATACAATGGGGGTACAGGTATTGGGTAAATACGGCTGTTCCTAATGGGAGAAATTGGCCAAAACAAGGGGCCACAGGGCCATGCAAATCTGAAAGCCAAAGGGGCAGTCAAATTTTAAAGCTCCAAAATGATCTCCTTTGACTCTGGGTCTCACATCCAGGTCATGCTGATGCAAAAGATGGTTCTGATGGTCTTGGGCAACACCCCTGCTGTAGCTTTGCAGGATACAGCCTCCTTCCTGGCTGCTTTCACGGGCTGGCATTGAGTGTCTGCAACTTTTCCAGGCACACGGCACAAGCTGTTGGTGGATCTACCATTCTGAACATAGGAACAGGCAAAGATTCATGACAAAGACACCAAAAGTAATCTCCACAAAAGCAAAAATTGACAAATGGAATCTAAATAATTTAAGAGCTTCTGCACAGCAAAAGAAACTATTAAGAGAGTAAACACATAACCTACAGAATGGGAGAAAATATTTGCAAACTATGCATCTGACAAAGGTCTAATATCAGCAACTATAAGGAACTTAAGTAAATTCCTTAAAGGTCTGGAGGATGGTGGCCCTCTTCTCACAGCTCCACTAAGCAGTGCCTCAGTAGGGACTCTGTGTAGGGGCTCCAACCCCACATTTTCCTTCCACAATTCCCTAGCAGAGGTTCTCCATGAGGGCCCCGCCCCTGCAGCAAACTTTTGCCTGGGCATCCAGGCATTTCCATCCGTCTTCTGAAATGCAGGTGGAGGTTCCCAAACCTCAATTCTTGATTTCTGTGCAGCTGCAGATTAAACACCACATGGAAGCTGCCAAGGCTTGGGGCTTCCACCCTCAGAAACTCTATGTTGTCCCTTTTCAGCCATGGCTGGAGCAGCTGGGATAAAGGGCACCAAGTCCCTATGCTGCACACAGCACGGGGAAACCCTGGGCCCTACCCACAAAAGCACTTTTTCCTCCAAGGTCTTGGGGCCTGTGATGGGAGGGGCTACCATGAAGACCTCTGACATGCCCTGGAGACATTTTCCCCATGGTATTGAGGATTAACAATATGCTCCTTGCTGCTAATGCAAATTTCTGCAGCCAGCTTGAATTTCTCCTCAGAAAACAGGTTTTTCTTTTCTATAGCATAGTCAGGCTGCAAATTTTCTAAACTTTTATGCTCTGTTTCCCTTTTAAAACGGAATGCCTTTAACAGCACCCAAGTCACTTCTTGAATGCTTTGCTGCTTAGAAATTTTTTTCACTAGATACCCTAAATCATCTCTCTCAAGTTTAAAGTTCCACAAATCTCTAGGGCAGGGGCAAAATGCCACCAGTGTCTTTGCTAAAACATAGCAAGAGTCACATTTTTTCCAGTTCCCAACAAGTTCCTCATCTCCACCTGAGCCCACCTCAGCCTGGATCTTATTATCTATATTGCTATCAGTATTTTGGAAAAAGCCATTTAACAAGTCTCTAGGAAGTTCCAAACTTTCCCACATTTTCCTGTCTTCTGAACCCTCCAAACTGTTCCAACCTCTGCCTGTTACCCAGTTCCAAAGTCGCTTCCACATTTTGGGGTATCTTTTGAGCAATGCTTCACTCTACTGGTACCAATTTACTATATTAGCCTGTATTTACACTGCTGATAATAACATACCTAAGACTGAGAAGAAAAAGAGGTTTAATTGGACTTACATTTCCACATGGGTGGGAAGGCCTCAGAATCATGGAAGGAGGCAAAAGGCACTTCTTAAGTTGCAGCAGCAAGAGAAAATGAGAAAGAAGCCCAAGTAGAAACCCCTGATAAACCCACCAGATCTAGTGAAATTTATTCACTATCATGAGACTAGCATGGGAAAGACTTGCCCCCATGATTCAGTTACCTCCCCCTGGGTCCTTCGTGGGAATTCTGGGAGATACAATTCAAGTTGAGATTTCGGTGGGGACACAGGCAAACCATATCACATACCATCTCACACCAATCAGAATGACTATTATTAAAGGGTCAAAAAATTACAGATGCTGGTGAGGTTGTGGGGAAAAGCATACTCTTACACACTGTTGGTGGGAGTGTAAATTAGTACAACCATTGTGGAAAGCAGCATGGCGATTCCTCAAAGAGCTAAAAGCAGTACTACCATTTGACCCAGCAATGCCATTAGTAGGTACATACCTAGAGGAATATAAAGCATTCTACCATAAAGATGCACGCACATGAATGTTCACTGCAGCACTGTTCACAATAGCAAAGACATGGAATCAATCTAAATGCTCATTAATGACAGACTAGATAACGAAAATATGGCACACATACACCATGGAATATTACGTAGCCATAGAAAAGAATGAGATCATGTCTTTTGCAGGAACATGGATGGAGCTGGAGGCTATAATCCTTAGCAAACTAATGCAGAAACAGAAAACCAAATACCACATGTTCTCACTTATAAGTGGGAGCTAAATGAGAATAACTTATGAACCCAAAGAAGTAAACAACAGACACAGGGGTCTACTTGAGGAGGGAGTGTGAGAGGAGGGAGAACAGGAAAGAAAATTATTGAGTACTGGGCTTAATACCTGGGTGATGTAATAATATGTACAACAAACCCCTATGTCACATGTTTATATATGTAACAAACCTTCTCGTGTACCCACAAATCTAAAAGAAAATTTTTAAATTAAATAAACAAATAAGTTATGATAGAAAAAAGAACTATCTAGAGTATTATCTGGTATTGAAGAATATCTTTCTCTTTTAGACCTATCCTGGCATCTAAGTAACTATACCTAAAAATCCATTACATAAGTTTTGCTCCCAATCTTCTTAAATAACTCATCAACATAAGCATTAAGAGAAAAAATTAGTGATGATTAAATTCAGGCTGAGTTTGTGGTTCAAGCCTTGATAAGTTCTACCACTTGGGTGTACTGAGAAAACAAAGCTATAATTTACCAAGAGCATTACAGAATTAACGTGGGTTATTCCTAAGGCCACCTCTGATTAGAAGTCAAGGAAAAATACACAATTTAATGATTACACTCTTACTGTTTGCAGGAACTGCTGGCCTCATGGCAAGTCACAGATTGGACTATGGTCTCTGGGCTGTAGAGCTATCACAAGATTTTTTTTGATTTGCAAGAGGTTAATTCTAATGAATGATATGAGCCAACTTCAGGATGAGGACTATTTTTTAAATTGCATTACCATCTTATTAAAAAAAAAGGTTGTTTCTTATACATTTCTGTGACAAGTGCAAAAACCTGATTCTCCATTATGCAGGGCTAAATTAACGATAAAGTTTCAGGAAATTTGAAACCAACTAGCAAGTTCCTTCATTGTTAAAACTGTATTAGGATTACTGGCCTAAGTTTCTCATATTTCTTATATTCATACCCAATGTCAAGTATAAATTATAATTTAGAACAAAAAGAAGGACAAGTTAAATAAAATACCATTCTTTTCCTCAATATGCAGTATTTTATAGACAGAATTATCAATGCCTATTTTCAATGAGAAGCCTACTCACGAATACCTAGAAGTCCAATGAAAGGTTTAGAGAGGATTGAAGAAAAAAAATATAAGCATTTGTTACCTAAAGTTAGAATTTTTTATATCCTAAGTATTTTACTAAGCATCAGGAAACCTAATCCTAGTTTCATGACTAACAGAATACATGCATTTGCATCTAACCTTAAAATGTTTCTTTGTTGTATAGAAAGTTTCAATAATAAAACCTTATTTTGCTTTAAAATATGTAAATTGATGCAAACTTGCAGATCCAGAGCCTGAAAAATATTTCTGAATCTGACTCCAAAAATATTAGATAGTCAGCAAGTAATTATTTAAATTAAAAATGGAAACGCCAACTCATCTTCCTTGAATTGCATTCTTCCAAATACTGCTTTGTGAGTGCGCAAAAGGCTTCTATTAATACATTTTTTATTTCAACTTTAGCTTGTGTATGTAAAACTTAATCATAAGGTTGATATGTACTAGGGGATATTAGAATAATTAAAATAAAGGCTTTAAACTGCACTTTCTTATGAAAAATTACACAGCTTTCTACATGAAGGGCTGCAACAAGTTACCCACAAAGCAATCAAATAGAGGTAGGATTGATTGTGAGGAGCAAAAACTTTCAAGGCTCAACATTGATGGACAGACACACCTAGCTTGTATTGTGGCTTTCCTTAATACTCATGGGTCTTCATCAAATTGCATAATGCTTCTAAATTTCAACTTGCTTTTTTCATAAAATGGTTATTAGAATTTTTTTCAGCTGAGTCAATGTGATTATTTTCATATGTTGCTTAGCACAGTATCTTGTACATAATAGCTATGCAACAATTGCAATTATTTTTCATATTATTTTCTATTTTGTATATAGTCATTTCAAAAAAGAGTGCTTTTACTTTAAGAGCCATTATGCGAATGCATACTTCTTTTATCAAATTTTGGGGGAATGTATTTAAAGAATAATATCAGGCTTGTGTGGTAGAGCCACAGCACACTCCGCACAATTAATTAACTCAAAAGTTCATTCTTCAGACCCTGGCCTGATCCCAGGTCATCCTTGTTTTTATCTTTCTGAACTGGCTTGGTTTCCTTAACAGCTTGTTCCCTTTCTATGAATGAGTCCAAAATATTCTGCTACAAAAAAACAGAGAAGAAACAAAAAAATCCTTTTCTGCAGCTAATATCCACTAGATTTCATTTTCAGGAACCACTCCAGGTTCAGCTTTCTGCTTTCTATACTATGTTACTCTGATTTAGCCACAGTCATGCCTGGATTCTTCCTTTCTGACGTGGCCTCTTCAAATGCATATTACTGCCTCTTGTATCAAGCCTCAGTTCCAAGATTTGCACTTAAAAAGAGTCAGTTCTCCCCGCCGCCTTTTAGGCCAACTCTAGCTACATGGAAAAAATAAACATCTGATTTCCAGAGAAGGTTGTTCAAAAATCCTTCATAATTTTCCAAAACGTAGTCTTTTCTCTTTTCCTTCAGCCTTATTATTGGCTATTCATTCTATTCTCGCTCTCCCGCCTTTGTATCTAAAAAGACTGAATAGAATTCACAATGACAGCTAAAGCAAAGGAGTAATCACTTTAATTCCTCATGTTAAACGTAATTCTTAGTGGAGATACCACAAGATTAGATTCTTAAAATGTCAAGAAAAGATAGCCATTTGACAAAAACAGTAGGGAATTCTAATCAAAAAGATCATCAATTGAAAAAAAAAACATGAATGCATGAAACAAAAGCATATTTGGGAAATTCCTAGTATGTATAGCTCAGTTTGCTGACCGCATGGCTAAGAAAATAAACAATAATAAAATAAAAGACTGGAAATATAGGTAGGGCCTAGATCATGGAGGATCTTTTATGCTATGCATAATGATTAGAAGTCTATCTTATTGACAAGAATACTGAGCAGCAAAACACTATTTTCAAACTTGTGTTTTAGGAAAATTCTGGTTGGAATAGATTTTTATCTTAGAAAAAAACATTCAACCTTGAACCTAGGAGGCGGAGCTTGCAGTCAGCCAAGGTAGCGCCATTGCACTGCAGCCTGGGTGACAAGAGTGGAGACTGCGTCCCACAAAAAAGAAAAAAACATTCAACCTCATTTCCTTTTTCACTCCTGACAGTAAAACCGTATTACTTTCCTTTCCTTTTCCATCGCTTCTACCATCATACTTCTAAATCTAACAAGTTTCATTTAGATGTGAAGATATAGAAATAAAATGGCTTGGCCTGAAATAGTAGTTGTGAAAGCAATGCTTTATTTTCCAAAACAGGCTATAAATTCATAATTATCACTGAAACTCAAAAAATCCTTATGGGGTTGGCAAGCTAAGTGGCATTATTTACATTTGCAGATGAAAATGAGAGGCCTAGAAAGGTCAATTTATTATTGAAAGTTATACTATAAAATGTGGAGCCTGGGCAGTCTCTTACACGTAACTAAAAATGGCAGAGCAGGAACTTCTGTCTCTGCAAACTACGGGCTTTCTCTTTAAACATGACGAAAAATGCTAGACAAGATAAAAAGATAAAAACTAACGGATAGCAAATATAAATGTTTATGAGTAGGGGCATGGGTGGTGTAGGGTTGATTGATACACAAAGGCCTTTGTGAGGACTCGTCTTCATGGAAGTTTAATTATTGCAAGTACTTTTTTAAGAAAGCATGACAGGAACAATAAACCTTAAACTCAACAATGATTGCTACCTAGAAAAATATGCTTGAAATATTGTCTTTTTACTATATTAGAAAAGTTGATTCAATACAAAATAAGCTCCTAATGTAGAAGTGATCATTAAAAAGGTAAAAAAGTGAGGTTGGCCGGGCGTGTTGGCTCACGCCTGTAATCCCAGCACTTTGGGAGGCCGAGGCGGGCGGATCACGAGGTCAGGAGATCGAGACCATCCTGGCTAACACGGTGAAACCCAGTCTCTATTAAACACACACACACACACACACACACACACACACACACACACAAAGTTAGCCGGGCGTGGTGGCGGGCGCCTGTAGTCCCAGCTACTCGGGAGGCTGAGGCAGGAGAATGGCGTGAACCCAGGAGGTGGAGCTTGCAGTGAGCTGAGATCATGCCCCTGCAATCCAGCCTGGGCGACGAGCCAGACTCCGTCTCAAAAAAAAAAAAAAAAAAAAAAAGTGAAGTTAAGGGCCTTCTTTATGATAATGAATACAAGGGAAGAAAAACAAAAGCAAAACATAGTATCAAGGACTGTGATAGTTGGACTATTTACATTTTTTTCTCCTGAAAATTTCTTAAAAACCAACTTGGTTCCATTATAATTTCCCTAATTTAAGAACCATTTCTGGAATCTAGCAATTGTCATAAACACAAAGAATCACAAGTAGCCATTCCATTTTCCAGGACAGCCATCTGGTACCAGAGTTTGCTGCCTGTAATCAAGAATAGTTTAACCCAGGCAACTGGTTGATGCTGTTACAAATTCCTTTACAGAAACACTAACAAATCTTACTCTGCCTAATTACCTGTCTACTGATAACATCATCAGTTACATGATATCCTGTTCCTGAACTGAGGTTAGAACCAAACTTCACAGATGACACAGGGACAAAGTATCCCCAATACTCTTTAAGAAACCCTGTGTCCTGAGTGGTGCAAGCTCACTGGTCTGCGAGCGATAGGAAGTTAATACAAAGTAGGAAACAAGGACAATATGAAAGTCAAATGGAATCATAACAAGCTGGAAAACATACTCCAAAAGTTTATTTCTGCAAAATAAACTTTTTGATGATAAAGCAAAAGATGAAACAGAAATTCTGATTGCTATACAAATTCTTCCAAATTTACATTTTAATGCCTTTTCAATACTGGCCTAACAAAATATTTCTTGAAAGTGTAGAATTTCTCTTCTTCCTGTTGAACCTCGGTTATTTTTTAGGTACTCTGAGCCTGAAACCAGCTAGCTAAACCGTCTAGAACAATGTGTCAAGTTGACTCAATTAAGGACAAAATAAAAATAAATTTTCATGGAAATAGAGAGTTGTATTCACATGAATGCCAAAATAATGCCTGATGAATAACAGTATTACAGTGAATACAAATGAAATCATAATTTGTCATTTACTTAATTTGTGCTATTAAATGCTTGATAAGAATGTCAGAAGTGTTTTTAAAATGCTCATTAAAATGGTTTATTATAATGATGAGGTAGAATTACTATTAAAGGATTAATATGAATCAAGCATGTATTGGGAAAGGATTGAAAGGAAAAATGCAGAGAAAAAAGAAAATGTAACCCCAAATATAGATCATGAATACATATGTTCTGAGAATGTCATAGAAGAATTATGCAGCATTTAAAAGCACAAAATTTTTGAAAAAATAAAATGTATACCTTAAGCACTCTTTAATATAAATGCATACCTAAATGTAAGAAATAAATGCTAATAAATACTTTCATATTTTCAAGATTTCATGGTTAAGGTATATAAATTACACGTTATATTTCAATGACATATGAGTTGATATAATTATAATTCTTAAAATATACTTTACCATGTAAGAAATTCATATGCATTTCTGAAACTTTATTATTGGCTTTTGTGGACATTTTATGCTTAACAACGTAAAGACAGTTATCCTTGCAATATTTTTAAAACATAGTTTATAATATAGACATAGTGAACATCCTTTATTTATATAAATACTGTTTATTTGTAATACTCAATTTCCATTGCATTTGAATTCTATCAGGAAAGTTTTTAGTGTAAAATAATATAGTCTCTAGAATTGAACAGTTTTAGTTTCAGAAGGAATATTCACAAGCAACATCGAAGGAGAAATGAAAAATTATCTGCTGAATTTGGCTCATGTATTTTGAAAAGCAGCTTATATAAGCCAACCCAAAATTCTATCATCTGATGGAATAACAAGCATGTTTTCACACATTGAATGTTTTAATCCTATTTGTCAGTTTGTTAGCTTGCTTTTCCAAATCTCTCATTTAAATTGGCCCACGGAATCTCTGGTTAACTTAAGTCTAGCAAAAAGAAATGAGTCTCTGACACTAGGCTGTTAAAAGGTCAACAAGAGTGACAGCTTCAGCATCTCAATTGCAGATTTTCAGCTAAAAGCCAACTGATGTCAAGATTAAGTCAAAGCCAAGACCTCATCATAACAAACAGATTGTCAAAACAGGAAAGCAGAGCACGGTTTATAATAGGAAGCATAAGAAGCTGGCTTTCTGTAAATTTGAGGGCATGACAGAAATCTGAGGGGCCCTCAAAAACCCAACCTACCACTTTGCCATTGAAACATTAAATCTTGGAGGTTTGTTGATCTTCCATATATAATGAAAAAGAGACAGATGTTTTTGTGTCTGTGGTGGTAGTTTGGGAAGGGGAAATGTTTAACATACATCAGCTTTCAATTACTTTATTAATTTTGACTTTTGTAATAAATATAGAAGTAGTAAAATCAATTAGAAGTAGTAGAAACAAATGAAGTAATTTAGCAATAGATTAGCGCTGAATCAACAAATACGAAATGACACTGATGGTAGGAATGCAAACCAAAGATGAAATTGGCATATGTACATTTTTTTCTCATTTAAAACTTTATTTTGGCAGTTATTCAGGACAGAGATAACTTTAGAAAGAAACTGAAATAAAAGTTGTAAAATTAATAGCAGATATTATTGGAAAGGAGCTTTGGATCAATTTACAGAGCTGTATTGGTATCTTAAAATGATATGATTGCATATTTAAACTTGAAGATATATCCCAAAAACTTGACATAATTTACAATGAGGTATCATTTGCCATCACATATGCACACAATAAAATACAACTGATATATATTGACCGTATACTATGCACCATACTCTCTTCTAGATTTTTGAAATAAATTAGAGAATAAAAAACAAATTCCTGCCTTTATGTTGTGTACATTTTCATAAGCTGGAAGGTGTTAAGGGCTATGTAAAAATATACATGTCGCAATGGGAAATTGGATGTGCGTGTGTGTGTGTGTGCATGCACGTGCATGCTAGCATGGATGCATGAGCATGTATGTGTGTGTTTTTGTGTGTGCTTAGAGACTTGCAATTTTATTTCATTTTACTTTGTTTTATTTATTTATTTATTTATTTATTTATTTATTTATTTATTTTTACATTTTGAGATGGAGTCTTGCTCTGTCTCCCAGGCTGGAATGCAGTGGCCTGATCTCGACTCATTGCAACCTCTGCCTCCCAGTTTCAAGCAATTCTTCTGCTTCAGCCTCCTGTGTAGCTGGGATTACAGGCACACACCACCATGCCCAGCTAATTTATATATGTATATATTTTTAGTAGGAACAGGGTTTCACCATGTTGGTTAGGTTGGTCTCAAACTCCTGACCGTAAGAGATCTGCCCGCCTTGGCCACTCAAAGTGCTGAGAGTATAGGCGTGAGCTACCTTGCCCTGCCAAGAGTTGCAATTTTAAAAATAATACTGTGTTCAAGGCAGGATGAATTGATAAAACATTTTTGCAAAGATCTGAAGAAGACTACCATGAGCATCTTGAATAATAATTTAAAATCATAACATGATTAAATTTAAAATATATAAATAAGAAATATTGATGAAAAAGGGATGGATAAATGGGCAGATACATGTTAAAGCAAATATAATAAAATATTAAATGAGAGGTGGTGGGTATTCACAATAAATTTCTTTCACCTTTACAGAATGTTTAAACATTTTAAATAAAATTTTGGAACAAAAAGCGTAGAAGGATTTTCTCTGTACACACATATTCTAATTTTTACATATCTTCCTTTTCTTTCTTTTTTCTTTCCCAGTCCTTATGCCTCTATTTCTAAAAATTACATATGAAAATTTATTTTAAATTATATTCTGTTTTCTACTATCTTGGCAACCATTAATTTCCATAAATAATGTTTACTTTTCTCACATGACTTTACATTCAGAACTTCACTTCTAAACATTAAGATTTTCTTTAACTTTCCTTGCTAAATTTCAGAGCATGGGGAAACCAGAGGGTAAGCCTCAGATAAAGTCATACAATGAAGTTTAAATATCAAAACAAAACAAAAATAATCTCTAGAAAGGCATCTTTTTTTCAAAAGATGGATAGCAATAGTTGCCTAACTACTCCCAAATTTTGGCCTGATTCCAAGAAATAGAATGACTTAAATATGACAAAGACTAATTGTCAACTATGTATTAAATTACAAGTAGATTTTAAAATTGTAAACTCATAATTGAATTTTATAACATATTGAATAAAATCTCTAAAATTAGAGTACATATAGCTCATACTATCAATTATTATGTGAGTTAAAACAAAAAACCAAGCTTCCTTTTTTAAAAACCTTATTTCTATATGAATGTACTTCTGAAAGAGATTCTAATTAAAGAAAAGAGAGGAATCCTTAATTTCCAAATACTGGCTCCTGTGAGGTCAAAATACCTTATATCCTGTACCAAAAACACAGTAGATACTCACTTGTGTTGAAATACTTAACTAAAGAGATTCCAGCTCAAAATACAGGTCATAGCACCGTATCAAATCCATACATATTCATGTGTTTTTCTTTCGTTATCATATATGTTATGTTATTCTCATGTGGGGAGGCAGTGTCTCCTTCCTAGTTTTCTTATTTTTGTGATTTATTTTTTCTCGCCACCCTCTCTTCCTTCATGTTAGCACAATGAATTTCAGGGATTTTAAGTGGTAGTTTTTTAAGAGAATATGGATACATGATCACATCTTTCATGTCTTAGCTAAACGGCCTTATTCCTTCATTCCCATTGAACTTCAATTTTCTTCTCTGTAAAAGTGGATAATAGCAATGACCCTATGAAATGTTGGGAAGAAGGATACAATAATAGATTCCAGGGATTCTGAAGGGTGGATGATTTTACTGAATTCTATTTATTATCACTTTGCTAGGCACCAATGTGGCATTTTGACAGTTTATTGGGAGATTTAGATTTTTTAGCTTTTTTTTTTATAAATTTATTTAGCATATTTATAATATAATACATTCAGACATTTCAAGTGCTATATTTTCTCAAAGACATTTGTTTTTCCATTATAATTTCTATGTTGCTGTTTACCTCTGGCTAATCATGAGTTCAAACTTTAACAAAACATTTTACGTACCTTATAACCAAAAACTGATTTTTATAATGTTTTATAAAAACACCCCCAAATTTAACAACACACACATTTATAACCCATCAGTATCATCAGCAGCATAAAAATTAATAAATGGCATTAATAATGTCATTTTTATCAAAATGGTTGAACTTCTTTGATCACTTCCAATTTTTAAGGTAATATTACACATTGTTAATTATAAAAACAAAGATAAACTTTAAATAACAGACTGACATTTTGAACATGTTTAACTTCATGTAAAATGGTGTTCATAGATATAGATTTATAGGATAACCAAATCCCTTCTTTGAAATTGCTCTTAGATGAAAAAGCAACTTGGGCAAGGCTTTGTCTCCTCCTCAGGGTGGCCCATATTTAGTTAATAATCTTGATGGAGTTTAAATGCCTGGCCATCGTGCTTCAAAATCCATTCATCCTAGCTCCAAAACTTATCTTTGGACAAGCTAAGTCCTTTATTCCAAGGACATCCAAGTCTTACTCCCCACTCTGTCTAATCTTGCTTCCTTCCCTGAAACAGGCTTTCTTTCTGAGAATGAAGCTGCCTTGGCAAAAATCATAACAGTGGGAAAATTCTGACAGTGAAAAGGATCTGATGTAACCAACTCCATTTTGCTTTCGTCTTGCAAACCGCCCTTGGTCATTCCTGGGCTTGGACCACATTTTCTTTGGGAAAAATTTAATGTATAGTTTAAATGATGATAGCCCTTCCCTTCCATTAAACCACCTTTATAAAACTAGTGAAAGACCACCAGGTTAGGAAGATGAGAGAAGTGAGAATTATGCTAAGATATAGGCATTAAATGATTACCAGCCATTATTCCACAGGTCACATAATTTGCACCTTCCCCAATCACTTCTGCAGATAAAATCACCATTGTAGAACCAAAGACTGGCCTTTTGAGATATCTTTTCAGGCTTTTGCATCTCTGATGACTAGATGGCCCCACCCAGAGTGCTGTGGGCCCCGCTCATAAGTGGACTAAATGCATGAGAACTATTTTCCATATCCTTATGATTGCATCTCCAACCAGTCAGTAACACCCATTCCCTAGCCAGCCCTCTCCCTGGGGAACTATCTTTGCAAAGCCCTAACCTCCAAATTCTGGGGAAGGCTGATTTCAGTAATAATAAATTCCAGTCACCCTTTTAGACAGCTGTCTGTGTATTGAAATCTTTCTCTATTGTAATTTCTTTGTCTTGATACATCAGCTCTATGTGGGAAGCAGGCAAAATAACTCATTGGGCAGTTATAAGAAAACATCTCAACCAGTTGCTTTTCCATTGATCTCAGATCATCAAATTCTATTTTCTGGGGGAACCAAATGTGAATGATTCTTAGAAAAAACAAAAATATGATATTTCTAGGTACTTGAAAAATTATCATTATGCTTTATATGAAAATAGGTAACTACAGTGAATTTCTATTTTACCTACAATATCCAGGCAAGTGCTTTGGCTGTAATTCTAACTCAGCTAGTGCCAGCAGTGTGGTCTTCTATGTTACTATAATTTCTCTAATTTTCTTATATGCATAATGTATTATTCATAGAGCAAACTCATGATATAATGAACTAAATAATGTAAGAAAGCACACTTAATCACTGCACTAACTTAGGTTAAACATTCTGAGTTAGGGCATGTTTTAGTAGATAAACATAGGATACATGCTCATCTTTTAACGACAGCAGTATTCATAGATAAAATTCTATAAATTCTTTGCATTTGAAACACAATCTCAACTTCAATTCCAAAATAAGAACAGAGACATAAATGAGCTTCATATTTATACTTGAATCAACTGAACAACCTCAGCAACCAGTAGGTGGCTTAAGAAAAAACAGTGCTGCTCACTTTGAGATGCAAGAACTTAAAAGTACACTTATGAGATTTATTTTTAATGCTTGTAAGAGTAATGTAGTAAGAAATTCTCATCGTTATGCTGTCAACACTCAATCGTAAGCTGTAATGTCAAAGACCACACAGTTTCTTACAGTTCTATGAAATACAACACAAACCTAATAAATGATAGGAACATCAAAAAACAGGTAATACACACTAAATTCTGGTTGTTTGCAAAACTCAAGTTTTCTCAGAAGAAGAAACAAAAATTACAGGTAAGCGCTTACAGTATTAACTCCTTAACAAAAACCTTACTAAATAATAGCTTCTGGAAAACTTTTGATTTTACATTTTTCCTTTCACACTGTGTAATTCTGTACTCTATTTCACAGAACAATGCTCCACTGAACGCTGTCACTCCCACAAATGGTATGGTAGCTGTCAGTGATTTTCAAAGAAAGCTGAATAATATGTACATATCATATCTTAATGTGTTCAAAACACATGGACCTTTTTGGTGTGAAGAGCAAATACAGAATGTGACCATAAGGTGACACATGGCTCATGCTGTGGGGCCAAACAGCATGAAACCGCAAGCTTCATTAGTGATTCTTCTCATAGCAGCTGGCCAATGGATCATGAAAATGAATCAGGAATATTAGGCTTTTTTTTTTCTTTTTTTCACTTTCTGCATTCAGAAGCAATTTGAACAGTTGGATTCCACATGTTGATGGGTTGTATTTCAACTTTCTGCTTTTTACTTTATACATTTCCATTCTAAAATCATACACCCTAACTCATGCATTTGTTACAGATAACAAACCCATTTGAAGCTCTTAGTTGACTGTCTTCCAGTAAAAATGCATGTTAGGAAATAATGCCTTTCCTTTAAGTTGAAAAAGTCCCTCAATTGTTTTGAAGTAAGCCAAACTTTTCTTATTAAACACAAAATGAGGCCGGGCACAGTGGCTCACACCTGTAATCCCAGCACTTTGGGAGGCCTAGGTGGGCGGATCACGAGGTCAGGAGATCCAGACCATCCTGGCTAACATAGCGAAACCCCGTCTCTACTAAAAATACAAGAAAAAAATTAGCCGGGCGTGGTGGCGGGCGCCTGTAGTCCCAGCTACTCGGGAGGCTGAGGCAAGAGAATGGCGAGAACCCGGGAGGTGGAGCTTGCAGTGAGCCGAGATCACGCCACTGCAGTCCAGCCTGGGTGACAGAACGAGACTCCGTCTCAAAAATAAATAAATAAATAAAAATTAAAAAAAAAATAGCCTGGCGTGTTGGCAGGCGCCTGTAGTCCCAGCTACTCGGGAGACCGAGGCAGGAGAATGGCATGAATCCGGGAGACGCAGCTTGCAGTGTGCCGAGATCGCGCCACTGCACTCCAGCCTGGGCGACAGAGCAAGACTCCGTCTTAAAAACAAACAAAAAAACAAAACAAAACAAAAAAAAGAAATACAAAGTGAGTTCATGTATTGTATTCTCAAAATAATAAAGTAAGACTACAAATCTGAATTTAGACTTAACCTCATTTATTACAGCTGTACTGCTCTTCCCAGACTTCACAAGAGCAAAGAAAGCAGGAATTCAAATTAATTAATTTTCTATCCATAAGAAACAGTTTGTATCACACTATTCAATGCTGGGGATACTGGAGTTTGGATGCATGATGTTTCTGAATGAGCATCCCTTCAACATAATATTCTCCTGATGTGAAAAGAAGAGTACCTATCAAAAAAAGGAAAAAAACCTTGTTCATCCTGAATATTAACTATTCTCACTAAAAGTATCAGCTAAAATTAGTTGGAGATCCATTTTTAAGTAAGTTGAGTCATCAGTGATATCCACTTTATTTTTATATGGAGTGGTCCAATATTACCTAACCCAGCCAACAGTGTTAACTAAATAAATTATTGTAAAATAAAGTCCTATTTTTTTCTTTGAGGGCACTTTTAGCTACCTAAATTTAACCAATTTGCATTCTCAAATCAGCATGATGATTTTGACAAATGATATTAAACTACCTTAGAAAAAGAACTACCCAATCAATTATACAACTGACTAGTTTTGCTTCCACTGTAAGCCAGGGGAAGTAACTTTAAGAGTATCTAGAATTGTTAAAAATTAGTAAGTAGCTGGTAGTCTATTTTATGTGTAGCATAACTTGAGCTTTGGAAATGCCTGTCTAAACATCTAGTAATATATTTCAGAAATAAAAATTAATTGAAAGGCATTATATTTAAAAGTATCAAAAGATTGAAAAATAACACAGGATTGGTACCTATTATTCTAAAGTACTCTGTAATTATACACATCATGTAATCTACCATGTTATGTTCCATCTCTAACCAGGAGACTCACATCATACACTATTTCCTGAGATAATTATCTTATACAATGAAATTTAATTATTTATTTTGCTTGAATAGTCATGACTTAACTTCATTTCTGACAGAGCTAACCTTTTTGCCTACAGGAATTTCTCAGGCTAACTATATAGGACCAGATTTTTCTCATTAAAAATGCCATTGAAATTTCTTAAATTATGAAAGTATAAGCAAGATTAAATATATTAACAATCCTTCTCAAACTTCTTTTATTCAGATTATTTTAGTTCTTTCCCATTTTGTACTGGCATCATATACAATTTTATGTAATATTCCTATATCTTTAATTGTAAAATACCTCTTGTCAAGGTCCATGGTAACTTGCTGTATGCCAAATCTGAAAAACATAAAACTTCTTTTTTTTTTTTTTTTTTTTTTGAGACTGAGTCTCGCTCTGTCGCCCAGGCTGGTGGGAGAAGGCGCGATCTCGGCTCACTGCAACCTCTACCTCCTGGGTTCAAGCGATTTTCCTGCCTCAGCTTCCTTACTCGCTGGGATTACAGGCATGCGCCACCACGCCTGGCTAATTTTTGTATTTTTGGTAGAGACGGGGTTTCGCCATGTTGGCCAGGCTGGTCTCAAACTTCTGACCTCAGGTGATCCACGCACCTCGGCCTCCCGAAGTGCTGGGATTACAGGCGTGAGCAGCCACGCCCAGCCAAAACTTCTTTCATCTCGTGTGAGTATAACTGCCCAAGGGCTTCAGCTTGCCAGCTGCCTGGACAGAGCTGATTCATCAAGACAGGGCAACTGCAATAGAGAAAGAGTAATTCACGCAAAGCAAGCTGTGCGGGACATGGGAGTTTTATTACTACTCAAATCAGTCTCTCCGAACACTCCGGGATCAGAGTTTTTAAGGATAATTTGGTGGGTAGGGAGCCAGTGAATCGGGAGTGCTGATTGGTTGGCTGGGGTATCAAATCACAGGTAGTCAAGCTGTTCTCTTCTGCTGAGTTAGTTCCTTGGTGGGGGCCGCAGAACTGACTGGCAGGTCAAAGTGGAGCCATCTGGCTGTTGGAAATGCAAAAAACCGAAAAGACACCTCAAAAGGCCGATCTTAGGTTCACAATAGTGATGTTAGCTTCAAGAGGAATGAGGAAGTTGCAAATCTTACGACCTCCAGAATAATAGCTGGTAATATTTAGAATTCCAGCCCCTCTCATTTTGACTTGGTGGCTCGTGACCTTTCATTTGTTTTTCAAGAACAGCTTAGCCTTTTGGGAAGGGCTATTATATATAAACTATACACTAAATTCCTTCCCAAATCTAGTTTGACCTGTGCCCAGGAATGAACAAGGACAGTTTAGAGGTTACAAGCAAGATGGGGTCAATTAGGTCTAGTAAGTTTCACTGTCATAATTTTCTCAGTTATGATTTTTGCAAAGGTGACTTCAAGAGCTCTGCATAGCACTTAATAGAGATGACATTTTACTTCTTGAAACACACTAACTTCTTGTCTTCCATTGTGACTGACCAGTGGATTCACCTTGTGTGCTGCCTAGACAGAGCCAATTTATAAAGAGAATTGCAACAGAGAAAGTGTAATTCACCCAGAGCTGGCTGTGAGAGAGACCATAGTTTTATTATTACTCAAATCAGTCTTCCCGAATGAGCATTCAGGGAGCAGAGTTTGTAAGGACAACTTGGTGGGTGGGGGGAAGCCGGTGAGCCAGGAATGCTGATTGGTCAGAGATGAAATCATAAGGAGTCAAAGCTGTCTTCTTGCACTGAGTCAGTTCCTGGGTGGGGGCCACAAGATCAGATGAACCAGTTTATTGATCTGGATGGTGCCAGCTCATCCATCAAGTGCAGGGTCCATAAAATATCTCAAGCACTGATCATAGGAACAGTTAAGGAAGGGTCAGAATCTCACAGCCTGCAGTGGCATGACTCCTAAACCATAATTTCTAATCCTGTGGCGAATGTTAGTCCTACAAAGGCAATCTAGTCCCCAGGCAAGAAGGAGGTCTGCCCTGGGAAAGGGCCACTATCATTTTTGCCTTAAACCACAAACTATAAACTAAGTTTCTCTCAAAGTTATTTCAGCCTATGCCCAGGAATGAACAAAGACAGTCTGGAGCTTAGAAGCAAGATGGAGTCAGTTAAGTTAGATCTCTCTCACCGTCTGAGTCACAATCTTGCAAAGGTGATTTCACCATGACACCATAATTTTATCATTTTCTTCCCACCTCATAGTACATTTCCTCTCAGTTACATATGCTGCCTCTAGTTCACTGAGCTAGAGATCCCTAGAGTTTGATGTTACACTGTCCCCATCTATATGTAGATGACTTTGCATTTATATCTTTACCCAGATGGGAGCCTTGAAATCCAGATTCATAAATCCCATGGTCTCCTTGATACCTCCATGTTGTTGTCTCATACATTTCTTAAGATAACAAATCCAAATTTGATTCCTGACTTTACTCCACAACAGCCCTGTTTTTTCTCATCTTAAGGATACCACAGCTCACCCAGTTGCTCAAACCAAGGGGAATACACTTAATTCTTCTTTTCAACTAATTTCTCATATTGTGTTTATTTTGAAGAATTATCAGACTTATCTTCAAAATATAAAGGATAGGTAATCAAAGATTCCTGTTTTTTATTACTGGCGCTTTAATCAAAGTATTGTTTATTATTGTCTGAACTAAATCAATAAACTTCTAATTGATTTCTCGGATTCTGCTATTGCCTCTATATAAATCAATTCGTTCATAGCATATTAATCTAAAAGCTTCTGTGATTAAAATATGCCAATGGCTTTTTCTATCATTAAAATAAAATCCAGGCTTATTTATATTCTTTCAATGTCTTACTTCATCTGACCCCTGAATAGTTCCACACCATTTTGATTAACACCTGCCTGCATGGTTACTATTCTCCAAACACATCTTTCCTTCTGATGCTTAAGCATCTCAAACTCATTCTGCCTTTTCAGATTTGGGAATCTCAAGACCCTCTGCCAGATATTCTCTTAACATATTCCCTGTAGTGAAAGACCCTTGTCCTTCAGAATACAGCTCAAATATCACCTTCTCAGGTGATATCACATTTGCACATTTTATTCTATTTATTATGCAACAATAATTACCATTTTGCATCTTTTTTTTCCTTCTTTCACTTTTTTATTTCCTGTCTCCCCTATTAGAATCTAAGCAGTATCTCAACAAAAGATGTCTTCTTCTCAGCTCTATCCTGAGACCTAGGAGAATATCAGATTACTAAGATGTGTCTAATAAATATTTATTTTTCAACTATATAAATGAATTGTTTTATTATTTCTCTCTTTATACAAAAAAAAATCACCAAATAAGGTTTAGCAGTCCTACATGTTAATTCCTGTTCCAATAATGGCTGTCTTCTCTCATAAATGTGTGTAAATCTCTTCACTTCTCTGTGCCCCAATTTTCCTGGGGGATTGGGCTTAATCACATCTAAGCTCCTTTCCTGTGATTCTATTTCAATGAGCAAAGGCATCTATAAACTATAGTATTAAATTTATTTTATATTTCATTTTATATTTTTTCCCTTAGATTAAGATATAGCAAGGAATCTCATCACCTTGGAAAGTTTGAGGAAATTCACACCTAGATGAGATAGAAATGCAGTGCTTGTATCTTTCATTCTCTGTTTTTCTTTTAGATCAGCTCTTTCCATTTCTGCAGTTTCCTAGATATGTTGATGTTTAAAATCATCCCTGCCATTATAATTCTGAAGTTATTTTTATCTTTTTATTCTATAAAAACTTCTTTATAGTCTCATCCTCCATGGGCCTCCAACTCAACAATTTCAAGGAGCATTTCAATGATTTTGCTTACAAATGTAAGCAGGAACTTTAATTGTCTCCACAAGAAGTAGCTGAAATAGATAAAAGGTTGTGAAAACACCTACCAGAGTGAAAGCGTTTCTATGCAGGGACCTTCTAGCCCTCTAGCAAGGACTCCACTCAGTTGCAAAGCTAAATGCTTCCTTCTCCTTATATCATTTATTTTGTAATCTACGTCTGTGTTAAAAGACTTACAAAAAGAAGGATGGTATTCTGTTTTTTCAAGTTTGCACAACAAGAATGCCCTTTGCCCTTTTTGCACCAGGTTCATTCTTAGTGAATGCACTGCCGGATGGGCTAAGCCTGGGGAAAAGCAATCAAGAATGTTATGATGTTGCTTTAATACAAATTTCTGATTTGGCAGAGCCCTTTTACAACCATTTCTTATTAAAAGTTTGAGAATCAAGAAGCCTTTTCACAGCAAAATCTTTGGGCCAACTATGATTCACTAGCAATAAGCACTTCACATCATGTCTGCAATCATTATCAAGAGACTTGATTTGTACACATGAATGGAAGCTTCTTTTGGTTTTCCAGTTGCCAATTCAGTCATCTCCACTCCCAGATGTTAATCACCATCCTATAGCACCAGATTAAGAAATGGGAGAAAAAATATCCTCATTTACTGTCTGAAGAGGAGTATATGTATATCCTACAGAGATAAAAATTGCATACTAACAAAGTAGAAGACATTTTATTTTATATTTATATCCTGCTTCTAAATTATATGAATTTCCTTAGGAGGACTTGACTTATGTTCCCTTAAAAAATGTATTACAATCACAATTCATTTTTTACTTCGTAGGCTATTTGATCTTTGAAAATATTCTCACACAAATAATAAATACTCTTGGTAACAAAAGAAATGATAAGTTGTAGACACACTTATGTATTGATTTATTCTTCCAGTGCAAGGTCCTGGATTTTTTGTCATAGTTTTTTGTGAACCTTTTCACATTCTTCTCTATAATTACACATACGTACTCACATGCAGTTATTTTGTTTTATTTTCAGTGATATCTTGAGATATATAATGTATAAGCAAATATACATGGTATATAAAAAACTTATAATAGATACATTTTATTTTTTCTACTTAATATTTTTTACTTATATTCTTGCCGATCATTTACAATCCAAATATTTTTTAAATAGGCATATTTCTTATGATGAATGTGCCATAATCATTTATTGTCAGTCCCCTATTTATAAACATTTAAGTGGTTATATACATTTTGCAGTTGCAAACTTTTCCCTAGAGAGTAATGCCCCATGTTTTTTTATTTAGGCTTTTAAAAAGTTTTGTTTTCCTTAGGTACGGGCTGAACTTCTAGTTTTAAAAATAATATACATATTTTAATATTAATACTTTCTCCCATATTTTTTTCTGAATGAATTTTAACAGTAATTGCCAGTAGCCTGCACTTACTCATTGCACGTAAGATTACCATTCTTGGTTGAAGGCAAATAACTCATTGATATTTTAATTTACAATTAATAATGTCAAATTAACTTATTTTTATCAAAACAGTTGATAGCTATATAGTTCTATATACTTCTAGCTGAAGAGGACACACCTTTATTTTTGATAAGTTTTAATGATAAATGTTCTTAACATCATATTCCTGCTTACAGAATGTGAACTATTTGAATGTGTATTAAAAAAAAGGCCATGCAATTATCTTACTAGCAATAATACTTACTAGTATTTTTTATTAACAATACTAATCAGTATATATGTAAATAAAATAATTTTAATTTTTTAATGATCTCTTGAAAATTAAATTTTGTTTACGATATATAAGAAAACAATGTATCCTAAGAGATGTTTTCTTTAGAAATGTATTATAAAATATTTAAGATCTATAGAGTCGTGTAAAACTATTTCCAGGAATATCTGCATATGCACCATCTAGTATACAAATAAATAAATAAATAAAACCTTACCAAGTCAGTTGAAGTCATGTGTGTACTCTGTATCAATTGTGTAAACTCCTTTTGATAGAGATAACCAGTATCTTTAAATTGTTGTTTCTTATTCTCATGCATTTCTGAATATTTTGTAATATACATTGTTAATCAAATAATATATAGTGTTGCATTCTTTATATGTTGTTTAACTTTACAGATAAAATATTAATACTCTATGTCAGGGGTCCCCAACCCCCTGGCTGCAGAGTGGTACTTGTCCATGGACTCTTAAGAACCAGGCCACACAGCAGCAGGTGAGTGGTAGGCAAGCGAGCATTACAGCCTGAGCTCCACCTCCCGTCAGATCAGCTGTGGCATCGGATTCTCATAGGAACTCAAACCCTGTTGTGAACTGCAAGTTGAGGGATCTAGGTTGCTCGCTCCTTATGAGAAGCTAATTCCTGATGATCTGAGGTGGAACAGTTTCACCCCAAAACCATCCCCACAACATCTGTGGAAAAGTTGTCTTTCATGAAACTGGTCTCTAGTGCCAAAAAGATTGGGGACTGCTGTTTTATGTGTTCTTTTGGAATTTGTTTCTATTTCTCAACATCAGGTTTAAGATTTTCACCAATGTAATCTAGTTTATATATACAGCATTTGTCTATGTGTAGTATTTTATTCTATGGATATACCCATAATTTATTTACCCATTTTGTTTTTGATTGACACAGAGTTTGTTTCCAATATATTGCTCTAGTAAACTATGTTGTTACTCATGTCTTAAACATTCTTTGTTTATTTTTGCAAATGTATGAGAATTCCTTTGCATTATAACTAGAGGTAGAGTGGCTGGATTGTAGACTATAAACATCCACTCCACTATATATTGCAAAATATTTTCATAAGTGCAATTGTTATTTTCAAAATAATATATTAATGTCTTGGAAATGTATTCTATCATAAAAAAATTAAAACTATTTTTATTTTAAAAATTTGAATTGCATTATGCATTGTGTTTATAAATTACCTTTTTGCAGTTACTAACATTTGGATATTTAAATCTCTATGAATAATAATTATTTATCTCTGTTCTGAATTTCATTGTATTTTAATGGTATTTTCACAGTTTTATCTATATACTTCATCCCTTTTATGAATAGTGTTTCTAAGTAATTTTATGGATTTCTGTTATGATTGTGAATAGGATTTTTAAACTAATTAAATTTCTAGCTAACTATGGACTGTATATCTTGCTCTTTTTTCAGTAAGTTAATCAAATCCTCTAATCTTAGTAGTTTTTATGTGAGTCATGTTGATTTTCATAGTACCTTATTTTATTATTTCCAGTGATGTTGGTCTTGCTTAATATTTAAAATAATTTAATTAGAAATAATAGGTAGTGTGATTTAAATTTTTCAGCACGACAAACATATGAATAAATACTTTCATGAAGAAACACATTTCATTTGCTGTAATAAATATTTACTTTAGAAAGCATAATTTTTTCTCAATTCAATTATGGGAAACCTTTATTTTATAAAATAAGATTTGTTTTCTCTTAAATATAGCAAATTCACATTTCAAAAAACTAAACAATAAATATTGCCACTCAATTAAAGTGACCTGTGCCACTGTTCTAGATGCCCTTAAACAAAGATTAATTTAAGGTAGAATGTGTTTATAGGATCCAAATAGATGGGTTGAGAAATCACATCTGAGTAACCTGGAGAGAGTTTTTGGAACAAGTGAGCATTGAAGCTGAGGTGGAAAATGAAGTGTTGAATTCCTATTTGAATTCTGATTTTGAAATTTGGTGGCTATGTGAAATTGGAGAGTCAATTATTCTCTGTGATTCAAAGATCAGTTGTCTGTAAAATGAGGACTTTCAGTTATATAAAGCTAAACTAGCTTAATTATTTCTACTTCTGTATATAAGACAGAGCATAAATGTAAAGCATGCAGAGTGAGATATATGAAATTGTTTCTTCTGGATGCAATAACATTCAATGAGCAGAGAAGTGTGAATGATTATTAGAGGAAATTCTGGGAGGAATCATTAAATTCTGAGTTCTGTGCTGTTGATTCTATCTAATGGTGAGGTGGTTAGTATAACAGTCTATCTCTTCAACCCATACTAACAAAAATTATGAAGTGAGCCATGAACTTCAACAACACATTCTTTTTCTGTTTTAGAACATAACAAATGAACAAACAAACCATTTCAAAACAATGAACTCTTAAAAATTATTGTTAAAGTTCATGAACTTATATTTTTTGTCTTAATTTCTGGCTTTCTTACACATGGTTAAATATAATTCTAACACACTTAGCTCTCCCCGTTCTTGGCAAGTTATAAAAGAGCAATTGACCCACAGCAGAAAGAATGTGTAGAATAAGGGACAATGAAGTACTCATGAAGTATTATGTGCTGACTATTTCACCCGGAAGAAACAGATAGAAAGACATATTTTATAATATAGTACTTATGTGTACATTTATATATGTGTGTGCTTATGCATATGCAAAAGCAGTGTGTGTATATATAGACAGTATATGCATATATAAAAACAGCATATACATATATACATGTACATATGTATGTATATAAAAGTGTGCTTGCATGAGAGCGCACACACACACACACACACACACACACATATGTTTCTGTTTAGGACCAGCTGGTATAAGAGCCATATGTAACTTAATGTATATAGAATATTGCTCTATAAAACAGATCTAACATATGACCTAACCTGCAATATAAACTACTCTTTGTTTGGCAAATAAACAAAAAATGAGTATTTCCCAGGGAAATAAAAACAACATATTTGATTTTTCTGTTTTCATTCTTGCCAAGCACTACATTTGCTTTCACATTTCATAGTTAGGTAAAGCAGAGTAATTAACATCACATATTTATTCTTACTTCATTAGTGACATTTACACCTGCGCTATTACAAAAATGCGCTAATGTTTTATTTATGATTTCTTTATAGCCTTCCTTATTGCCATTCACATCATTCACATTTAACAAAGACAGAAACTAATAAAAGCCAGGTATTGGGTATTATTTATTTTGTCCCTGGCATGATAACACCTTTAATGAAAAAAGAAATAAAAACTTAGGTGGCAGTAATTACCGCAGTCACATTTACCTCACTATGCAGATGGAGTATAATGCACTAAGTTTCTAGGCTGTGTCCTTCATGTATTCACATCACAGTGAAAAATACACAGAGCTGTCACTAAGCATAAGTCAAGCTGAACAAATGGTTTTTTAATTTGAACTAGAAAATACAGTCAACCTACTGTACTTGATCTTATATGGAAGGACATTACAAAGACCTAAAAGAGGTTAAAACATTTAAAATAGTGAAACTGAGAAGTGCAGGGTGATGGGGGTGAGATATTTAAAGTGAAGCAATGTAACAATACATCAACATATGAATTAATAGAAATACTTTGCTATGAACATACATTATAGAAAAGGAATATTACAAAAGACATACAAGTTGAATGCAGATGAATATGTGTAAAAAAGAAGCTATAATGAGTCCTAAAGAGATTAATGATTTAGATTAAGAGACAAAGCTGAAATAGTGGGATAGTTATTAAAACCTTGTAGTCAAAAATCAGGATGGCAGAGGACTACAATCATTAATCTGCTAAATCTGATTGAGGGCAGTCACAAAAAAATGGCAAGTGCTTTTAACATATGGGCCTATCCTGTTTGTGACAACTGTCCATAAATCAATGATGCATGAACAAAAGCTTTATGGAGGGCTAAATAAAACTGGAGTGTTTAAATTGGAGCGGTTTAAAAATGCTATAATAATTTTAGGACACATTTAATATATTATGCTCAAATATATTCTTCACAAAAAATGTGTTGCTTGCAAACGCAAAGTGAAGATATTTAATTTAAATTTTTCATTTTCTATCAAATTATTTCCTTAAACTTAGAATGTGAAAAAAATAGACATTGATTATGATATAATATGCACATTCACTAAATGTATTACCAATACAGAGAAGGTAGTTTGGTAGACATTTTATATATATATATATATATATATATATATATATATAAAATCATATAATAATTACCTTAAGGTAGATATTATTATTTCCGTATAATAGATTAGGAACCAGGGGCCAGTTGAGTTGCATAATACATGCAATGAAGCTATTTTATTCAGACATTCTGACTTCAGGCTCAATGCTTTGTGAATTACCCCAGAAATTCTTACATTTCAGGTTTATTTCCAGGTACCTCACAGTATGACTGTATTTAGTGAGAAGGCCTTTCACGGGGCGATTAAGTTAAAATGAGGCCATTTAGGGATGCTCATCCAATCTGACTGGTGCCCTTTATAAGAGGAAATTTGGGCATACAAAGAGTCATCTAGGATGCACACACACAGAGGGAAGACCATGTGTGAACATATCAAAAAGACAGACATCTGGAAGCCCAGAAGAGAGGCATCAGAATAAAACTGCCTTGATCTTGGACTTCTAGCCTCCAGTCATTAAGTATATATACATAATATATACTTAATATATACTTAAATATATATTGCTTAAGCCAATCATACTGTTGTATTTTGTCACGGCAGCCTTAGAGAACCAATACACCTTCTGATCTAGGAAGTAGAAAAGATATTGTTAAACAGTAAAGTAGGTAATTATACTCAAATAATTACCATTATATAAATATATACACACACAATGGAATATATAAATATAATGAAATATATGTGAAATATAACTATGTGTGTGTGTATATGTGTGTGTGTGTGTGTATACACAGTTTAAGCTTCCAGAATTTAAAAATATTTTGTCATATTTTGTCATTTCCTACTTATTTGTCTCATTATATGGAGTGATACTGGTTCAGATGAGCTGGTTATGTGGCCCCTGGACCAACAACCTCAGGTTAGTGAATGGAGCTGGCATGTTTCTTTCTCCAGAAATTACTCAGACCCTACCCAGAGCCTCAACCTAGTGTTGGAGATGCCCTTGATCTATTGCATTGCTTAATTCAAAAACTGTTGAAACTGAGCTCTTCTGTTAATAGTATTAAAAATATGAAATAACATTCTTGAGATCCTGTTAATAACAATTTAATAGTAGTGACCAATTTGCTTCTCTCTCTTTATATTAGGTAAGACTTTCAAGATATAAAACAGGCTGGGCGCAGTGGCTCATGCCTGTAATCCCAGCACTTTGGGAGGCCCCGGCGGGCAGATCATGAGGTCAGGAGATGGAGGCCATCCTGGCTAACATGGTGAAACCCCGTTTCTACTAAAAAAGTACAAAAAAAAAAAATTAGCCAGGCATAGTGGCAGGCGCCTGTAGTCCCAGCTACTTGGGAGGCTGAGGCAGGAGAATAGCGTGAGCCCGGGAGGCAGAGGTTGCAGTGAGCCAAGATCACACCACTGCACTCCAGCCCGGGCAACAGAGCGAGACTCCGTCAAAAAAAAAGCAGAAAAAAAAAAAGATATAAAATGAATTGGGCTTGTAATCCCAGCACTTTGGGAGGCTGTAGCTGGTGGATCACCTGAGGTCAGGAGTTTGAGACCAGCCTGGCCAATGTGGTGAAACCCCATCTCCACTAAAAATACAAAAATTAGCCCGGAATGGTGGAGGGCACCTGTAATCACAGCTACTCAGGAGGCTGAGGCAGAAGAATTGCTTGAACCTGGGAGGCGGAGGTTGCAGTGAGCCGAGATCATACCATTGCACTCCAGCCTGCGTGACAAGAGCAAAACTCCACCTCAATAAATAAATAAATAAATAAATAAATAAATAAATAAATAAATAAGGAATTTACTGGTTATACTGTTTTCCAAAGAAAATTGTAGGGGTTGGAGTCAGGAGAAGATGGAAAGGGACCACCCCAACCACCATAAAAACTTTGTTTAAAAACAAAAATCTCCCAGTAGGAAAGTAGGATGAGACAGATAAAAGAGAATATCATTAATGATGAGGACAGAAAAGTTCCAAAACAAAAAATACAAAAATGACTTATGAACTCTAAAATCAGTTTAAAAGGTATTGAAAAATCAGAATACAGTTTTAAACACAAGCTGTTCAGGACAAGGATATTAGCTTTCAAACTAATTTTGAGATTTTAAATTTTACCATATTCCTCTGGAAACTTTAAATTCACAATGTATTTAACATCTTTAAAACTCAGAGAAGACATAGAAGCAGCTACCTGTTAGTTATCTAATTCATCAAATTTGTACAAATATTTTAGTGGAAATTCAGTCAGCATATCTAACTCAGAGTTATTCAGTCAATGCATATTATTTTAAAAAATGATCAACAGCTAAAATCAAACAATAAAAAATAGGAGTTATTCTTACGGTACTCCTGGAAAAGTCTAGGCCTATAAGTCCCTATACACATGTCACTGCTATTTTTTGTGGTATATTACTGAAGGTTCCTTGAATAAGGATAAAATGTATGGGAATTTTTTGTTCTTTACATTCTAAGTATTTTAAATATGGAAACATCATAAGCACTGGTTGCAAAGCATATTATTAAAATATATTTTTAAAACTCATTTATTTATAAGAAGAAACAAATACTCAAGTTAAAAAAAAGTTAGACATATTAATTTAACAGGATTTACTTGAGCAAAGAACAATTTATGGATCAGGCAGCACTCAGGACCAGAAGAGGTTAAGAGAGCTCCACTTTAGCAGCATGAACGAGTGACATTTTATAAGCTGAATGTAGACATGAGGTAAAGAAATTACTTGATTGGCTATAGCCAGGCATTTGTTTATTTTAGGTATAATCCTGTGGAAAGTCCTTAGTTAGAGGACAATTGTCAGTTTCTGACAGGTATATCTTACGTTTCATTTCAATCTTCACATTGGGCTTCAGCTTATTTATGTAGGAATTCAAGACATGGGAGCTGTCTCAGCCTAATGGCCTCTCAACTGAAATTATTTTTAATGTTAAGAAAACTAAAATCTCTGAAATCTCTTCTAAGGCAGTTAAAACCAGATAACTAACTAATTGAAGACAAGGAAAAGATTTTTGAGTATCATCTGACAACATTTTGTTAGCAGCAGAATTTATCCAACTCACACAGCACCGAAGTATGTTACTGGTGGCAAATCCATATGGGTCTGAAGGAACCTCAGTTCTTCTCTCCTCAGAAGAAAGAATTTGACTGAGGGGCATAAGGCAGAGGAGAGACCAAGGCCAGATTTAGAGCAAAAGTGAAAGTTTATTAAAAAGCTTTAGAGCAGGAACAAAAGGAAGCAAAGTACACTTGGAAGAAGGCTAAGCAGCTGAGTTGAAAGACAAGTGCACGATTTGCCCTTTGACTTAGGATTTTATATGTTGGCATATACTTCAAGGTCTTGCATCCCTTGTCCACTGATTCTTCCCTTAGGGTGGGCTGCACCCATGCACAGTGTCCTATGAGCACTTGGAAAGGGAGCACCCACAGTGTGTTTACTGGAGTTGTACGTATGCTTACTTGAGGCATTCTTCCTCATCAGTCAAATATCCCTAGGAGGTCATATGCAAGTAGAAATCTGCCATTTTGCATTTTAATGTGCATGCTTGAGCCCGCTTGCCCAAATCCAGAGATCTTATCAGGAAGCTGCTCATCACCAGTTTCAGGTGTTTTCCGTCACTGGGAGACTGCCTTTCCCTGGTGCTGGCTGTGATCAATTATTATTGTAGAGAGACAGTTAACAACTGCCTGGTGGCCTGACATGCCTGGTGCATGTGGAGTTGGGGAGCCCTTTCTTGCCCTGCTCATTCTGACCAGCTACCTACTATAACAATTTGATTTACTGAAATAAAAAAAAAAATTAAAGCTGTGTTTTTTATGTAAACTTTTTTACTCTTTTAGATTAAGATTTGATAAACTTTTCTAATTAAAATGTTATCTTAATAATAAAATTAAGACTAAGACTGCACTCTTATAAAACAAACAGTATCATCATAGTATTTCTAATGAGAAAAACTGGAAAAAAAGCATTGTTTTAAACTTTACTAATTCTGTAAATCAAAGCAAAGATACTAAACTAATACCAACTAAACGATAGTTGGCATTACGGTACTTTAAAACATAAGAGAGCTCAATGATGTAGTGAAAGAAAAATAGAATAAGAGTTAAGTCTGAGGATCTAGTCCTGGTTCTGGGGCATCAGTTAAACAAGTGGCCTGGGTATGTTATTTAGACACATAGCCCAAATATTCTCATCACTAACAGTAGCAGTTAGCTAAGGGATATTGCAACCCCTATCTGTATAGGGGAAAACATTTTTTTTTTCTGTACCCTTCATAGTTTTTTACTGGGTTTTCTGTGAAAAAACACAAATTAACAGGAGAAAAACAAATAACATTTATTAACATTTATAGTTAATATATACATGGGAGACACCAGAAGGTGAGTAATTTTATAAAGTATATCTCAAAGAATACTTTTAAACTTTAGACTTAAATATCATCATTACCTAAAAGAAAAAAGTGTGCGGGGAAAGACCTGGTTAAGATGAAATGATGAGGAAAATCCCCTTTAACAAAGGCATGGTTTGTTATGCAGATTTAATTCCATGCCTTCTTCATTCAGTCATTTCTCAATTCCTGGTGCAGAGAGGAAGACACCCCTACAAACAGAAATTATCTTTTTTGATGTAAATTTCTCTTACAGAAAGACAAATTTTCAGAGTGACTTCTGTGTCTGTTTCTCAGAGTAACCAGCTCAAAATAATCAATATGCCTAAGAAGCACTTTTTAGGGTGGCATATTCTGGTCTCCAACAGTCATATTTTGATTGATGTGTTTGGAGTCCCACTGTCTGTATAGTCCATTCTCACTTATAAATAATAGAATATATTATTTATAAAATTATCTCCACTTTTATTGGACATAGTTCTAATTTAATTCTTTTAACATTTGAATACACTCAGAATGTAAAATTATTGAAATTTCTATAATAAAAATATAATTCTCATATTTTACAGTTGAAATATAAACAATATATCACCAACTGAAGTTAGACTAGAAGAACATATCCTTAAAAGAAATACTAAGACTTCATATGTGTTTGAACTACAGTGATACTTCACCTTCTAAGAGCTTTAAAATATTCGATCATTGGACAATTTGTCTCTCAGATATATTCAATTGAGAATTTGTCCCTGGATATTTGTACTCAAATATACTACAACCAAAAGTTGAAACTTAGGTAACAGGAAATTGTTCTGATATATGTGTTACAGGAAAGCGGTCCTGATCCAGACCTCAAGAGAGGGTTCTTGGATGTCACACAAGAAAGAATCCAGGGCAAGTCCATAGAGTAAAGTGAAAGCAAGTTTATTAAGAAAGTAAAAAAATAAAAGAATGGCTACTCCACAGAACGGCACCAAGGGCTGCTGGTTGCTTATTTTATGGTTAATTGTTGACTATATGCTAAACAAGGGATGTATTATTCACACCTCCCCTTTTTAGACCATATAGGGTAACTTCTTGATGCTGCCATAGCATTTGTGATGGTGGAAGCAGTGAGAATGACCAGAGATCACTCTTGTGGCCATCTTGGTTTTGGGGGGTTTTAGCCAGCTTCTTTACTGCATCCTGTTTTATCAGCAAGGTCTTTATGACCTGTATCTTGTGCCAATCTCCAATCTCATCCTGTGACTTAGAATGTCTAACCATCTGAGAATGAAGCCCAGTAGATTTCAGGCGTATTTTACCCAGCTCCTATTCAAGATGGAGTTCCTCTGGTTCAAACGCCTCTGACATATGAAGTCAAAGGGAATCGAAAGTATTATTTTCAGATTGATCATACCACATACGTTCAGCAAAATATGAGTCTGACATACCAGAAATGATAATAGAAACAAAAATAAATTTCAGTGGGGTTAATGAGTAAAATTATTGTTTGTAAATTCAAAATATGAATCTAGACATATAATTTTTCCTTTTTGGGAATGTGTTATGTTAAAGAAAACCTTTGGACAGATTAAACTTAACAGAGTTTAACTGAGCAAAGAACAATTCATGAATTGAGCACCACCACCACACTCCCCTTACAGATAATGGAAGTGAGGAACAGAAACAGTTAGATTGGTTACAGCCTGGCATTTGTCTTATGCTAACACTGTTGTAACAGTTCATCACTTTTGGCTGAAACTTGGTGATTTGTACAAGAATAGGTTACAGTCTGTTTAAACATCCACTTCAAGTTACAGTTCACTATGTATGTAGGAACTTTTAAGCTGAACTTACAAGGAGGTTGCTTTAGGCTAAACTTAATTTAACAGTTACATGAATCGATATATGGAAACATATCTACAATTGTCTGAACATAAGTGACCTTGCACTTACGGTATAACAAATTATGCCACTTGAAGAAGGCAATGGCTAGTAAGGTTGAAGTGTCGACAATAATGGACTGCAGTGTATCTTGAAATGAACACCTATTCATTGGGAGAAGTAAAATAAATTTTTTATAAAAAATAAAACCACTAAAAAATTAAAATTTGAGTGCTCACTTTAGTAGTACATATATAAAATTGGAACGATACAGAGAAGATTAGCATGGCCTCTGTGTAAGGATGACACGCAAATTCATGAAGCGTTCCATATTTCTGGCCAGGATCATCCTGATACCAAAACCTGGCAGAGACACAACAAAAAAAAGGAAACTTCAGGCCAATATCCCTGATGAACATCAATGTGAAAATCCTCAATAAAATACTGGCAAACCGAATCCAGCAGTACATCAAACAACTTATCCACCACTATCAATTTGGCTTCATTCCCAAGATGCAAGGCTTGTTCAGCATATGCAAATCAATAAATGTAATCCATCACATAAACAGAACCAATGACAAAAACCGCTTCATTATCTCAATAGATACTGAAAAGGCCTTTGATAAATTCAATATCCCTTCATGATAAAAACTCACAATAAACTAGGTATTGATGGAACATATCTGAAAATAATGAGATCTATTTATGACAAAGCCACAGCCAATATAATCCTGAATGAGCAAAAGCTGGAAGCATTCCCTTTGAAAACTGGCACAAGATGAGGATCCCCCTCTCACCACTCCTATTCAACACAGTATTGGAAGTTCTGGCCAGGGCAATCAGACAAGTGAAAGAAATAATGGGTATTGAAAAAGGAAAAGAGGAAATCAAATTATCTTTGTTTGTAGAAGACATGATTCTATATTTAGAAAACCCAATAATTTCAGCCCAAAGACTCCTTAAGCAGATAAGCAACTTCAGCAGTCTCAGGATACAAAATTAATGTGCAAAAATCACAAACATCCCTATACACCAACAATAGACAAGCAGAGAGCCAAATCATGAGTGAACACCCATTCACAATTGTTACAAAGAGAATAAAATATCTAGGCATACAGCTAACAAGGGACATGTAGGACCTTTTCAAGGAGAACTAAAATCTACTGCTCAAGACTATAAGAGAGGATACAAACAAATGGAAAAACATTTCACCCTCATGGATAGAAAGAATCAATATCATGAAAATGGCCATACTGCCCAAAGTAGTTTATAGATTCAATGCTATTCCCATCAAACTACCATTGATATTCTTCATGAAATTAGATAAAACTATTTTAAAATTCATATGGAACCAAAAACGACCTTGTATAGCCAAGACAATCCTAAGCAAAAGGAGGAAAGATGGATGCATCATGCTACCAGACTTCAAACTATACCACAAGGCTACAGTAACAAAAACAGCATGGTACTGGTACCAAAACAGACACATAGACAATGGAACAGAACAGAGAACTCAGAAATAAGACCATACATCTACAACCATCTCATCTTCAACAAACATGACAAAAACAGGCAATGGGGAAAGGATTCCATATTTAATAAATGGTGCTGGAAAAACTGGCTAGCCATATGTAGAAAGCTGAAACTAGATCCCTTCCTTACACCGTATACAAAAATTACTCAAGATGGATTAGAGACTTAAACATCAGACCTAAAACCATAAAAAACCCTAGAAGAAAACCTAGGCAATACCATTCAGGACACAGGCATGGGCAAAGACTTCATGACTGAAACACCAAAAGCAATTGCAACAAAAGCTAAAATTGACAAATGGGATTTAATTAAACTCAAGAGCTTCTGCACAGCAAAAGAAACTATCATCAAAGTGAAAATGCAACCTAGAGAGTGAGAGAAAATTTTTGGAATCTACCCATCTGACAAAGGCCTAATATCCAGAATTTACAAGGAACTTAAACAAATTTACAAGAAAAAAAAAATCAAAAAGTGGGCAATGGATATGAACAGACACTTCGCAAAAGAAGACATATATGCAGCCAACAAACATTAAAAAAAAGCTCAACATCACTGATCATTAGAGAAATGCAAATAAAAACCACGATGAGATACCACCTCATGCCAATCAGAATGGTGATTATTAAAAAGTTATGAAACAAGAGATGCTGGCAAGGCTGAGGAGAAATAGGAATGCTTTTATACTGTTGGTTGGGATGTAAATTAGTTCAACCATTGCAGAAGATCATGTGGAGATTCTTAAAGGATCTAAAACCAGAAATACCATTTGACCCAGCAATCCCATTACTGGGTGTATACCCAAATGAACATATATCATTCCATTATAAAGATACATGCACACATATGTTTATTGCAGAACTATTCACATTATCAAAGACATGGAACCAACCCAAATGGCCATAAATGATGGACTGGATAAAGAAAATGTGGTACATATACACCATGGAATACTACGCAGCCATACAAAGGAATGAGATCATGTCCTTTGCAGGTATATGGATGAAGCTGGAAACCATCATCCTCAGCAAACTAACACAGGAACAGAAAACCAAACACCGCATTTTCTCACTCATAACTGGGAGCTGAACAATGAGAACACATGAACACAGGGAGGGAAACAACACACACACTGGTGCCTGTCAGTGGCAGGGTTGGGGGGCAAGGGGTGGGAGAGCATCAAGATAAATAGCTAATGCATGAGGAGCTTAAAACTGGATGGGTGTGGTGGTTCACACCTGTAATCCTAGCACTTTGGAAGGCTGAGGCAGGAGGATCATAAGGTCAGGAGTTTGAGACCAACCTGGCCAACACAGTGAAACCCCGTCTCTACTAAAAATAAAAAAAATTAAAAAATAGCTGGGTGTGGAAGCAAATGCCTATAATCCCAGCTACTCAGGAGGCTGAGGCATAAAAATTGTTTGAACCTGGGAGGAAGAGGTTGCAGTGAGCCCAGATTGCAGCACTGTACTACAGCCTGGGTGACAGAGCGAGACTCCATCGAAAGAGGAAAGAAGGAAAGAAGGAAAGAAAGAAAAGAAAGAAAAGAAAGAAAAGAAAGAAAGAAAGAAAGAAAGAAAGAAAGAAAGAAAGAAAGAAAGAAAGAAAGAAGGAAGGAAGGAAGGAAGGAAGGAAGGAAGGAAGGAAGGAAGGAGGAGAAAGAAAGGAAAGAAAGAAGGAAGGAAGGAAAGAAAGAAAGAAAAGAAAGAAAGAAGGAAGGAAGGAAGGAAAGAAAAAGGAAGAAAGAAAGAGAAAGAAAGAAGGAAAGAAAGAAAGAAAGAAAGAAAGAAAGAAAGAAAGAAAGAAAGAAAGAAAGAAAGAAAGAAAGAAAGGAAGGAAGGAAGAAAAAAGAAAGAGAGAGAGAGAGAAAGAAAGAAAGAGAGAGAGAACCTCAGGTGATGGGTCGATGGGTGCAGCAAACCACCATGGCACATTTATACCTATGAAACAAACCTGCACATTCTGCACATGTATCTCATAACTTAAAGTAAAAAAACAACAAACAAACAAAAGATTTCCAAATGCAGGTAAAGCCCAAAGCTGCAGCAGCCATTTTGGTGTCATGAGGGTAACAAGCCTAAAAGGGAATGCCAGCGTGCCAAATATGGTGAGCACGATGTTACATAGAAACTCTGTCTTGCATTATGTTGGTGAGGTGCTGAAATAACCAAACCAGGGGCAAAAAATGTATTTTATTGTTAACTTTCATGCAATGTTGCTGCTGAAAAATCTGTTATGCATTTGTATAATACAAATTTTTTTAAAAATTAGAACATTTTCTTTGTAATAAATAATAAAATGATTAAATTTCTTGTTGATAACTATTTTAAAATAAATAAATAAATACAATTTGAATTTGACCTGCAGGGCTTGATCTCAATTGACGAATTTGACCTGCAGGGACAAATTGTTCACTGGAAGAATCAATGAAAGAATTTGACCTACAAGGACAAATTGTTCAATTGTTATAAAATTTTCAGTATTTCTAAAGTTATGATTTATAAACATTAGAAATTAAAACTTTTACTTCATTTGTTAGTAAATATAGTTTTTAAACAGACATATTTTACAGAAATTGTTTCTAAAGATTTTCTCATTGACAAAGTGAAGAATATCTAAACTTTTTAATAATGGCTGTATGTTTAATATTAAATTTCTGTCCAGTACCTGAAAAAATATTGTGCTGTTACATTGATTGATTTAAAAAAAGACAGTATTTGATTTTGAATTGTATGACCAGAATTTACTTATTAGAATCCAGTTCATATTTTTGTATGCATCCTTACGTTGTGTTCAGTGGGACACAGAGCCTTACACCTCTTTCACGTCTCATTCAAATTATTACGCAAATGTAAGTGGCCACCTAGTCTTTTCTCTATCTTCCATTTGTAAACTATCTTACATTTTTCTGTCATAGCTATTTCCCTAAAACGAATATCCGATACGCTGTGTCATCCTTCTGTTCAAAAATCTCCAGTGACTTCCTGATGCTTACATTGTTAAAAAAAAAATAAAAATGGCCAGGTTTGGTGTCTCATGCCTGTAATCCCAGCACTTCGGGAGGGTAAGGCAGAAGGACCACTTGAGCCCAGGAATTCTAGAACAGCCTGTGCAATGCAATGAGACCCCATTTATACAAAAAATAAAAAAGCTGACTGAGCATAGTTGTGTGCACCTGTGGTCCCAGTTATGTAAGAGGTTGAGGTAGGAGGATCACTTTAGCCCAGGCAATTGAGGCTGCAGTGAGCCATGTTTAGGCCACTGTACTCCAGCCTGGGTGACAGAGTGATACCCTATCTCAAAAAAAAAAAAAAAAAAAAGTCAAAAGGAAAAAAGAAAATAGGTATTCACTGTGATAACAATGATTCTTGTGAAAGCCCAGTAAGAAAGACTATTCAGTTCAGAGTGGTAAGTATAGAGACCACTGCAATGGGATTTTGCAGTGGGGAAGAGAGACTGGGTTTCACTAAGTATGGGCAATGAGGATACAGCATGACTAAGTGGTCATTTATAGCCAAGGACAGGGTGAAGTTCAGTGGATAGAAAATTACTAAGAGGAAATATCAGAGGTCAGGGGTATTCTGGCTAAACTGACCTAGGAGGATTCCAGCTGAAGACAGGCTAGAGTGATCGGATATTACCTGGGGGATGGTGGAGAATGAAAAACCACATCCAATACCAAGGATGATCATATATCAAAGGTAGAAATTCTTGCTCAACTGATCTAGCAAGGTTCTTAATAAAACTGAATTTTACAAGGAAATGCACAGAGGATTTTCAAAGTTCTGATTAAAGTTTGGTCAAGCAAAAAAAAAAAAAAAATCTTGATGAACATCAGAGTCCAAACTCCTCGCTATGCTTGTGATCTGGTCCTGGCACATCACTAGTAGTCTCTTGTTTTGTTCTTCTTCTACCTGCATGAGTCCCTATTCCCTCCAAAATAACATTGAAATTCAATAAAAATACTTAAATTCTGGCTCCTCAAGCACACATACAAATTCACATACACACACACACACACATGCCCCACTGACTTGACCATAGTCAGCTATACCTTCTTGCTTATCAGGACACTTCTCCTTTCATCCTTTATTTGGACCACAGTGGACTCCCTGCCCATTTCCCAACATGCATATGTTTCTTCTGTCTCTATTTATTTGACACTCTTACCCTCGGTGCCATCTGTATGACTCAAAATCTTATACCTACTTCAGAACAAAGCCTACATGAAATCTTTTCAGAAGCACTTACCTCGATTATTTCTTCCAAAATTATACTCCCATGAGACTTGTTTTCAATAAACCCTTAAAATATTCTCCACTCATTACTTTTGATATTATAGTGATAAATTTGACTGCCTTGCTGATAGATTGTAAACATTGCAAAAGCAGAAATTATTCCATTCATTTTCTCTCTTCTACAGTATAATAATAATTTAAATATTTAATGAATGATAAATACAAATATTATTTATAGAAAACAATTATTATGTAAATTCTCTAGAATTTATATGAATTTAATTCACTACATTTCAGGTATCTTTTGGAAATAAATAGAATATAATTATGGAAAGTATATGCATTTCAAAGAAACTTCTTATATTTTACCTGAAGATACTGCAGTCACTTTGGCATGAATAAGAAATTAAATTCACAAGAAGACTAAAGACTATGCAAAAAATCTACATTGCGTCCTCATTATTTTATAGTAAGACGATCACAATAGGCTTTTGACTGATTTCTCCAGATATGTAGAAACCTATAAGGTAAATCCTTAACTAACTCACAGGCCAACTAACTGTTGTAACACAATGCTGTGTACCTCCTTCCACCTCCTGAATGAAGTCTCATGACTCTGCTACCTAAATCATACAGCCGCACTGAAGTACTGGCCTTCAAACCCCTCATAAGCCAGTCTGTATATCTCCAAATTGACCACTCACTACTTCTGTAAGTGAATTCTTTACTTTCAAAAATTGATCTAATATTTTCCCCATAAAATATGCCACAGATTCCTGCCTCTGCTCCATGACTTACTTCATTCCTACCACCTGGAAAGCCCTTGACTTTTCTCTCCTCTCATTAAAGTTAAACTCGCCATGGAAATTTCACTTAAATGAAGTAACCCACACTGATGCTTCTCTACCCTGAACTCTTATGGAATTTATTATCTGAACTATTAATTAGTCAAATACACAATGACTACTATGTTGCAATTTAATTTTTTCATGGAAATCCCTTTTCCGCTAAAATAAATTTTAAGAACTTTTTTTAGTTTTTTATCAATATTTTTAAATGGCTTTAGTAGACAGCTTACTAAAATATGTTTACAGAAATGTAAGTATATGAATTAAAATATCTGAGAGAATATTTTCTTTTTAAATTGTTTATTATGTGCTATTTTTGGTAGGTAGCTAAAGAAATGATGAGATATGGGCTCTGTACTCCAAAAGTTCATTATCTAATAATAAGAAGAAATAAATAAATTGAAATTAAGTAATGAATATCATAATAAATATGTATACAAGCTGCACTAAAGCTAATCTGAATAACTTTTCTTAAGTTTGGGAGGAAGAAAATGTATGCGACATTCCTCAGTGAGTCTTCAAATACAGGCTTTCAGACAGATAACATGGCAAAAACATTTGAATCAGATGTGTCAAAAGTAGAAAGACAATCAAAGGAAATATAGAAATATTTAGACCTCCCATTTTTAGTGAAGTCTGACACATAGTAGGTACTCATGAATTCATAATTAAATGAGTAAAAGAGTGGCTGATAAGAGGTCGTTGGAGGGCCCAGATAAAAATCAACTTAATGAACAGTGTGTACCAAACTCTTTGTTTATAACACATCAGAACCTCATTAGATACGTATGCCCACTTTACAAATTAGGAAACTGAAGCACAGAGAAATAACCTTGCCCCAATTAAAGATAACATGGAGAGCCAGGATTCATCCTCGAATTCATGTAACTCCAGTCATATATCTTTATTATCCATCACCCTATTTCTCGACTTGCTATTGAATTGTAAAAAAGATGGCATATGTAGGGAAATACAAACAGCTGAGTCACTATTTGTGAGGGAGGTGATTGGAGAGAGCAAAAGAGTTAGGAACGTATTAAAATGCAATAGTTTTGGTAAAAAAAATAGGGTCTAACTAAAACATTGGGAGTTTTAAAAAAGAGGGTGATGTCATACTATTTAGCTGGTAGAATGTAGAGAACTGGGAGACAGGCTGGCTGCGATGAGCAAATGAAAATGTGATTTTTAGGACAATGCCCAGGTTTTAACCTATCCCTAGGGCCGCAATGTCTTTAATTTAGGAAAGAAGTGTAGGTGGAAAAGCAGATTTAACCTGAAGAATGTGTTAACTAAGGGGGAATAGTGGATAGTAGTGGATACTTCCATATACACTGCCAAAATTTAGGTCTGTACCTCAGCAAGGTGGAATACAGAGAATGAGGAGTATATGACTCGCCTTTGAAGAAATGGGTTTGGACGAGTTCACATAGAGGTGTGGATACAGATTTTAAACAGCTTCATGATCATCTAGAGTTTAGAGGTTCTTAAACAAATTGCTAAGGAACAGTCAAAGTAACTGGTAAAAATAGAGAGATAATGGTTTCATGGAACAAAAGAGGTAGAGAGTTTCAAAGCAGAAATCCTCAACATTGTAAGCTGTTGGGATTCACTCAGGATGTTGGCAGAAATACTAAAGGGAAATATTAAGAAAAGTTATAGGGAAAAGTCCCAAACCTTTTTGGAAGGCCGAAAGGTTACATAGCCTGTAGTAATTGAACAGGCTGAAGGCAACCAGTTCTTACCTTAGAGCATTAGGTCATACTGAGAGGTGACAGCGTGCTGGCAGTCCTCGGAGCCCTCGCTTGCTCTTGGCGCCTCCTCTGCCTGGGCTCCCACTTTGGTGGCATTTGAGGAGCCCTTCAGCCCACCACTGCACTGAGGGAGCCCATTTCTGGGCTGGCCAAGGCTGGAGCCCACTCTCTCAGCTTGCGGGGAGGTGTGGAGGGAGAGGCGCGAGCGAGAACCGGGGCTGCCTGCAGCGCTTGCGGGCCAGCTGGAGTTCCGGGTGGGCGTGGGCTTGGTGGGCCCCCGCACTCGGAGCAGCCGGCCAGCCCTGCCGGCCCCGGGCAATGAGGGACTTAACACCCGGGCCAGTGGCTGCGGAGGGTGTGCTGGGTCCCCCAGCAGTGCCAGCCCACCAGCGCTGCGCTCAATTTCTCACCAAGCATTAGCTGCCTTCCCGCGGGGCAGGGCTCGGGACCTGCAGCCCGCCATGCCTGAGCCTCCCACCCACTCCATGAGCTCCTGTGCGGGCCCGAGCCTCCCGGACGAGCACCACCCCCTGCTCCACGGCGCCCAGTCCCATCGACCACCCAAGGGCTGAGGAGTGCGAGCGCACGGCACGGGACTGGCGGGCGGCTCCACCTGCAGCCCCGGTGTGGGATCCACTAGGTGAAGCCAGCTGGGCTCCTGAGTCTGGTGGGGACATGGAGAGTCTTTATGTCTAGCTCACGGATTGTAAATACACCAATCAGCACCCTGTGTTTAGCTCAAGATTTGTGAGTGCACCAATCGACACTCTGTATCTAGCTGCTCTGGTGGGGCCTTGGAGAACCTGTGTGTGGAAACTCTATCTAACTAATCTGATGGGGACGTGGAGAACCTTTGTATCTAGCTCAGGGATTGTAAACGCACCAATCAGCACCCTGTCAAAACATGCCACTGGGCTCTACCAATCAGCAGGATGTGGGTGGGGCCAGATAAAAGAATAAAAGCAGGCTGCCAGAGCCAGCAGTGGCAACGCGTTGGGGGTCCCCTTCCACACTGTGAAAGCACTGTTGTTTCGCTGTTTGCGATAAATCTTGCTACTGCTCACTGTTTGGGTCCACGCTGCTTTTATGAGCCGTAACACTCACCGCGAAGATATGCAGCTTCACTCCTGAGCCCAGCGAGACTACCAGCCCACCGGGAGGAACGAACGACTCCAGACGCGCTGCCTTAGGAGCTGTAACACTCACCGCGAAGGTCTGTAGCTTCACTCCTGAGCCAGCGAGACCACGAACCCACCAGAAGGAAGAAACTCCGAACACATTTGAACATCAGAAGGGACAGACTCCAGACGCGCCACCTTAAGAGCTGTAACACTCACCGTGAGGGTGCGCGGCTTCGTTCTTGAAGTCAGTGAGACCAAGAACCCACCAATTCCGGACACAATAGGGTAAATGCTAGGGACAATAGAGGCTTCCCCAGTTAAGTCTGTTTTCCCAACCTCCATTAACTAACCTTTGAGCCAGATGGCCCCCTCTGGGGGAGGTCTACCGGGAAAATTGCCCCCTTATGGTATTTACTTTAGACCTCAGTACCTGGACTTTAATCATTCATAGAACTACTCTCTTAACCATGTTAATTATCCACAAGTGTGTTTACTCAAAGCTTCTGTTGTTAATTCTATACTAAAATGGTTGGAGTGCGAGCTGCTCAGGGCTACGGCTGCCATTCTTTACAGCACTCTCCTTGGAGTCTGTGAGTGGCCTCGGACCCTCAGCTGGACTGGCCAAGCAGAATATCTGTGTGTCAGTGTACTTTATTCATCCATCGGCGGGTCAGGGGTCTGAAAGGGACAAACAGACCCCCCACAGCTATTGCCCCCACAACAGGAGCGCTGCCTCAGTAGGTTGTTGCAGTTTTGTTAGAAGCTGAAATAAAATTTAAGATAGAAAAATTTGGGAGGCTGAGGGGGGCAGATCACGAGGTCAGGAGATCGAGACCATCCTGGCTAACAAGGTGAAACCCCGTCTCTACTAAACCTACAAAAAATTAGCCAGGCGTGGTGTCGGGCGCCTGTAGTCCCAGATACTCGGGAGGCTGAGGCAGGAGAATGGCATAAACCCTGGAGGCGGAGCTTGCAGTGAGCCGAGATCGCGCCACTGCACTCCAGCCTGGGCGACAGAGCGAAACTCCAAAAAAAAAAAAAAAAAGAAGGCATTGGTGACATAAGAGCGATTGCAGTAAACCTAAATGCAAGCTGCAGTTGGATGTAGTCTAGCACTGATGGAATATTATTTGAAGTAGCTTGCTTGTGAAAATAGAGGGTAAAACAGGAAATTGTCCAGATCAGTATTAGTAAAATAGTAATCTCCTAAGCATCAATCAGGCCTCAAGGTGTCATCTAAAAAATAAATTTGCATCAAATCCTGACTTGGATCTGAGTTTTCCAAAGCATGACAATTTTCTGCTTTCTCAACAATTACTATTTTTTACACTGGGTAAAGTGGTCTTTCCAATATCTTAATATTATCTCTTCTATTAATACATTATCTTATTGCAATTTTTTTTGTTTTTTTTCAGAATCGGAACCCCCTTTTGCATGGACAATTCTTGTCTTAAAACATCTTTTGTTGGAGGCAAAGTCCCCTTTAAAGGCAAGGGTACAGGCACCCAACCATGTCACAATTGATTGTCTTAGCAGGCCATAAACTTTCAGCTGGGATTAGAAGCATGCACCACCCCACCCTGCTAATTTTTTTTTTTTTTTTTTTTGTATTTTTAGTAGAGACAGAGTTTTGCCATGCTACCCAGGCTGGTCTCAAACTCCTGACCTCAGGTGATCCACCCACCTCAACTTCCCAAAGTGCTGCAATTACAGGTATGAGCCACCGTTTCTGACCCTATTTTATTTCTTTTTTGAGACAGGGTCTCACTCTGTTGCTCAGGCTCCAGTGCAGTGGTGCAATATCAGCTCACTGCAACCTCCACCTCCCAGGTTCAAGGGATCCTCTCACCCTTCCAAGTGGCTGGAACTACAGGCATGAGCCACCAAACCTGGCCATGTCATTTAATTTCCATAGATGATAAAATTATGACTCAAATTAACTAATTTCCTAAAAGCTCACACCTATAATCCTAGCACTTTGGAAGGCTGAGCAGGAGGATCACTTGAGGCCAGCAGTTTCAGATCAGCTTGGGCAACACAGTAAGACCCAATCTCTACAAAAATAAAAATAAAAATTAGCCAGATGTGGTGTCCTGTGCCTGTAGGCCTAGCTACTCAGGAGTCTGACGCAGAAGGATGGCTTGAACATAGGAGTTTGAGGCTGCAGTGAGCTATGATACTGCCACTGCACTCCAGCCTTGGCAGCAGAGAACAATCATTTTTCTAAAAAGTAATAAAAATAAAAAAGATCACCTTCCTGAAAGCCACATTGTTGTACTGCATCTCCAGTACAACATAATATTGTTGTATTTGGGATCTTCAGAGTATACCAAGTTGGGATTCTAAGTTGCCCCATCAAGTTTATGGTTGTCAAAGATATTTTTGGTAATCTAGTAGGACATTGAGAGATCAGACCTTCCCAAATAGTTCATTTTTGAGACAAGGACTCAAAAATTGACAATGACTCATCCAGTTTTAAGTATATCTGAATATGCATTCAGAACCTGAACTATGTCTTCTGAATTTCAAAAACTACAGAATCTTAGAATCAACAAAAGAGCATCATAGAGTTAAATAGATGTGGACATCAAAAATTTCTAAGAAATTATACCACAGTTGGCATTATTTATTTATACCATTAAAATATATAAAATTTATAAAATAAGGTTATTTCTAAACAATATAGTCATATTTTAGCCTATTATATTTAAAATATGTAAGTGCATTTTAGAAGAATTTGATGGAGGACTAAATTTAAAACTCTCACTTTTTTCATCATCTAATATTTAAAGATGCTATGGTTATTAGAGAAATGACAATCTCTTTCAATGCATTAGCACTTAAAATATGATTTCTTCTTTCATGGTTTGCTTTAGATCTTGTGCTTCCAGAGAGATTAATCCTAAAAAGGGTAGAGATATTCTAAACCTTTGACAGCACTGCTTAGCTTGTTGTTTCTCCCCGTAGAATTTTATAATAATACACTCAATTAGCTTCTTTGTCCCAGATTTCATGGAATAATTGCTAGAATTTTATCTGGTGCTTATAAGTCACAAGTGTTTATTCTTTTAGAGAATGTTTTCTGGATATTTTAATACTTTCTATGGAAAGTAAAATATGAAATTTAAATGGGAACACAACCAATAAAAATTGTAGTTCCGTTTTAGAATTACTGCTTTACATTTAAATTAAGCATATAAAATGCACAAGATTTTCTTATAATGTTCCTATTCACATCCTCTAGGCACAATTTTACTACCAATTTTCTCCATTATCTATGACCAACATATGTTACTAATATATTTGTGATTTTTAAGCTGATTTTATTATTTTTGGAGTCACAGTTTTATTAATAAATATTTTTCACATTTATTTGCAATGCCATGTACTTTATGATTTTAATTTCAATAAAAAAGAGGTTTAGATGAAATACCTCAATGGATATATACATGCATTAACATCAAATTATATTTGCACTCGTCATTCTTGGAAAACATCAGCTAGTTGATGTTTAATAACCCTCTATAAATAAAGATTGGTTTTCAAAGCTTCAATAAACACCCCAGTCTTTTTGTACACAGGATGCCAATTTTATAAGCCATAAAGCGTAATAGGAGGTATATTTATTAATAACTAAAATGGCTTTAGGGTCCGAAATATGCCTAAATGAGAATGAAAAATATGTCCCTGGATAAAGGACCATTTATTTATCATTTATAAACATAGTTATACTGAAACATATTTTTTTTTAACTTCAGAGAGCTGGACAAAAGAGCTACAGAAATAGAAAAACGTATCTATTTCTTTGGTAGAAAAGATTACATTAACTTCTAAAGAGAATATTTTAAACTTTTGTAATTAACATCCATTTTTAATTGGTATTATTGTTGCTGTTAGGAGAAATGAAAACCTAGAGAGAGTTCAAAAAGAGATGAACTATCCCACTGTAATTACCACAACTCCCAGCAGGGGCTTCTCTCCTCTGATTAACACGACAGCAGGGTAGTCGGTCTAGCACACAGCTAACTGCCATAATCATGAAGAAAATAACAGGGATGAGAAGACTCAAAAAAGAATTTTTCTGACATCTAAAATAAAGAATCTAAACTTCTTTATATATGTTATAAAAAAAACTTATAATTCTGAACATTTCTAGGAAATACAAACTAATGACCTCAAACAACTTTAAATTAATTTAAGAGATCTGAAGGTGACTATTTCAATAAAATCAAACAGTGCAAAATTTTTTTATTCCTCTCATATTGAGAAAATATTTTGACTACCAGTTGGCTATTCTGTCGTGGTTTACTTGCATTTTTAATCAAGATGTAGCTGGAACTAATTTATTCAGTAATTCATAATTGTGTATGTTACAAACTTCTTTGTAGCAAATTTTAGTGTTTTTTTTGCTGATACATATTTATAACATTTCACAGATATTTAAACATATACTAATGTAAATACAAGTGACATTTTCAGTATAGCCACATTGCAGTTAAAATCATGATCCAGGTTAGTCTGTTATTACTTGAAACTCCATGCAAGAGGATTGTTTTTCATGTTATTGTTTGGTGTGGGTTTTTGTAAAGTCCACGTTTTCTTGAATATTTCATGGTCAATTAACTATCTAACATTGTCCTTTAGTTTTAACTATGACAGATTTAATAATACTTTCCATGAATGTTATTCAAAATATGTAATGACAGGTGAAACGAGCATTGGCCAATAGGAAAAAATGTTCAAGAAAACATAATGGGCATTGCCTCAACAACTATATTGATACCCATTGGCTGAGTTTTCAAAACTGCAGTTTCATTTTTCAATATTGATGGTTATGGAGGTAAAGTCAGGTATTATATATTACCAACAAATTCTAATGATATTCCTGAAACAAAAGTAGAAAACAAAATAAGACAAACTGTAATGTATAGGGGTTTATTGATATTTTAAGGGTCTGCATCCCCATAAACTCCAAGGAAGATGTGACTCAAACTAGCTGCAATATTATTGTTGGCTACTGTATTAGTTTCTAGGGCTCCTATAACAAATTACTACACAATGTGTGGCTGAAACAATAGAAATTTATTTTCTCATAGTTCTGAAAGCAAAAGTTCAAAATCAAGAGGTCAGCATGGCAGTGCCCTCTCTGAAGCCTCATCAGGAGAATGTGTTTCTGATTTCTTCTTACTGTCTGTTGTGAAAACCCTTGGCATTCCTTGGTTTGCAGCGGGATAGCTCTAATCTCAGCCTGCGTCATCACATGGTATACTCCCTGTGTCTCACCCTCTTGGTGTTTCTCCTCCTGTCCTTATAAGGACACCAATCATATCAGATTAAAAGCCCACCCTAATTCAGAATAACTTTATTTTAACCTAACTGATTACATCTACAATGGCTCTAGTTCCAAATTAGATCACATTATGAGGGACTGAGGGTTGAGAGTTTATTGTATCATGTGGGGACATAAGTAATCAATAAAATTTTTCAAGGTTTTATTGACCTACAAATAAAACCTTGAAGAATGGCTAGTTTTTAACTGTCACAGGCATCTTCAGAACATTAACAACTTAACAGGTGAAATTTCTAATTTGATATATTGTTAAGACAATGCATTGACAAAATTTTAATAATGACCTGTATTTGAATGCTGGATGACATCAGATGTGAATTGCTCTTGGGAATAATTTCTTCTTTACCACACTTAAGTATTCTGTCCAGGTCCTCAACATTCCCATACCCACTCAGCCATTTATAAATACTCTCTATAGAGCAACATAGCTAACTTTTAAAATTGCTTGTCAAAATTCAAAACCCATTGGAGATGATGCTTTTCTGTTTATAAATGGATTAACAAGAGGTATTTTCTAAAGGAACAACTAGATCTTATGTGGAATGGGATGATGGCTAAAAAATAACATTATTCATAGTCATTACACAGGGAAATTATATACAGAAAAGTAATAATATTATCAGTGAGATAAATTATATCTATGTATCTGTACCTATACCCATCTATTATCTATCTATCATATGATGTGAGAGAGAAAGTGATAAGGAGTGATAAGGGCATATTTCAGATCATAAGCCAAAAATCAAAAGTATTGTTCTAGGGGAAAATGTTAAAAAATAAGTAAGAAAAAATACCAAAGTTATTGAGGGTGCTGAGTCAAAATAAATAAAAATGAAAAAACATAGAAAAAAGAATCATGATAAGGATAAAAAAAAAGCTGAAATGTGATACAAAACAAAATTGAGGACAGGTGGAGCAAACTTTTTTATTTTTTTAAGAGAAAGTGATGCTGGTCATAAGATGTTAAATTTTACCTAATTACTTTCTAAGAAAGACTAGATGCCATACTTGTTCCAAGCTATGTGACTAAGCTTTATGATTACACAGTGCACATCAGCTGCAATCAGCCCTCAAAACTTTAATGAGAACTCTAGTTCAGAAAACAAGTAGTTTTTTAGAGGATGATGAAAATTAAAATAGAAGAAGTGCAAACTACATAAAGCAATCATCTTAGAAATGAAGAATTTTGCAAAACATCAACAGGTGCAAATCATGCATGATGATATGGAATCACATTGAAATAATAAATTATCTTCTAGAGAGGAAAAATAATGATTTTTATAATGATAAATTTTCTGCATATTTTGTTTCTGACACACATTTTCACGGAAACATTTTCATAATTATGTACAGACTTCATTTCAATCAAGTAGAGGTCTTTAGCCATGGCTGTATACTTGGAGAACATTTTATAAATAGCGGTTCCTGGGCTTTAGCTAAAGGCATTCTGATATAACAGAAGAGAGTGCATCAGTTTTAGAGTTTTATATTATTTTATAATTTATTATTTACATATAATACTGCAAAAATAATATTTTGGTTTCATAATTTTACTGTAATTGCATCAGGCATAATAGGTTAGTTTATGCTACCATAACAAGAACCACAAATATTTCAGTGTTCTATCAAAATAGGGTTTATTTCTCTCTCTCAAAGTTCAAAGTAAGTCCAAGCAAATCTTCAATTAACTGTCCTCCATGTAATGGTTTGGTATTCCAAACAGCATCGATCTGTCTACATGTCTATCTATATGGGTTTCCAGGCTCATTGGTGAAGAAGTCATGGACATTTACAAATATTTTAAGTAATTGATTCCCAAATTTTGATAAAGTGTCTCCATGCACGGTCCATTGGTTAGAAGTAGTATGACTCCACTTAAGTATTAAAGACAGTGTGGACTTATCTGGTCTAATTTTATGTCTGGAAAGTTTTCTAGTTTATAATATGAAATATTAGTTTCAGTACAATAATTTAGTTTTCTTCTTCAGGGAAAATAATAATGCAAAAGTTCAACCTCATTTGTCTTTCTTCCATTTCAGTCACTTTTGTTCTGGTCCTTTATAATATTTTAAACATCTCTGATTTATTCTCTTGATTGTTTTCCTGCCTTGACTCAATAAGCTTTAATAAGGGCTCATTCAAATAAATCTATTATCTCAAGGGCATTTTCTGATGTTGTCTTTACATATGATATTATTTTATCTTTTACATATATTTCATGATTTTAGTGAACTTTTATTTTCTTTAATGAGTTTTTATTTCTCTTTTGTATTTTGATTCAAGGTAATATTTCATATTTTTATTTTGTTTTGATGTAAATTTCTGTTTGCAATGTTGATTTTTTTTTCAGTTGTATAGTTTGTGTATTATTGAAACTTTCTACTAGCTGAACATTTGTGTTTTGCCATATCTAACTTTATACAGAAATTTTATGATGTCTACCCTTTTCTACTCTTTCTTAGCGGCGAGTGAATTCCTTCTTCTGGTATTCTGGTATTTCTGCTCTCTTCTGTCTATTTTCTTTCATGGTTGAGAGAAGGAGAAGAGAGAAAATAAGTTGGTGGTGTTATTCTCTTTCATCAGCTGTAGAATACTTACTTCAGTAGGATACATACATTTCCCCTCTATTTTCTTTATTTCTTTCATGACATCATCTCCGAAGTACACTGCCTCTTCTGAATCTGGTTCTTTCCAAGAAAGATCACTTTTCCAAACTGCCACTTATAATTCCACACATTTTTAGTCTTTTACTTCATAATGAAGTCTAAGAATCTCTAAGGCCCAACCCGTGTTCAATAAGTTTATTCTTGTTATTTCACTTTCTCTTTCTGAGGATGATGTAGTATGCCTCCTCTAAGCCCTCTGCTGCTGGCTGTTCTTGATCATGGAGTCTCTTCAGGTCTCCCCTTTCAAGCTCTCTGTACCCACAATCTTAGAGCAGACATGAGATTATGGTGGGTCTGCAGTTGATATTGCTTTTCCCATTTCTATTATTTAAACATTATCTAGAGTTATAGTGGTCTCTGTCTCCTAGTGATATTGAAAGTGTGGGCCCTATGGGTTATTATTTGTTGCCCTTGATTTTTTTTTCATCATTTCAGGAAATAAGGGAAATATTGTCATTGCTCTCTAAGCCCAGATGTCTACAACCAGGAAAATGTCATTTTAATTGATGATTAAAACTGGAGGAAAATTATAAAATTAATATATAAGCAGTAAGGTTCTACATGGTTATTAATGTTTAGTACCAAATTTGGTCTTGAGTTTCTCACAATATAAAATTTAGTCAGTTAAAAGATTTTTACTGTTTGTCAGGAAAAATAATACATTTTATACCTCAGAAGAAAAATGCAGCCTTACAGCACCTAAATCTGAAAGAAATGTCTTACATAAATCTTATACTGGTTATATTAACACAGTGACAATAATCTCTAGAGAAATTCTTTTTACTCATATCATCTATGTCATAGAATTTATTTATAGGATTGAATTGAGGATATATTTTTAGTGTCCAGCACTAAGCTGATAGTGAAACACTTATAAGGTTTTAGCTACAGTTAATTATTATTAACTCTAAGAGTAATAATAGTAACTTATAGAATTTGATACTGTACTACCTCCCTGCCTCATGGGCTTGTGATGTGCCACTTTTAGAGCTTTAGCAATGAGTCTGCTTAGGATAGCCAATCAGCATATTCCTAGCTACATCACCCAGAGACAGATTCAATGTGTTGTAGGTAAGCAAGTCAGCAAGTGATGACCCCTACGTCACCTACTTTCTGATTGGAGATTTTTTTTCTTCTAAACTTAGATGATTTACCTTATAGCCCTGAACTTGTATATTATTATCTTGCACCCACAAAGATGCAGTTCAAAGCTGAAGACAAAAAAGAAAGATGCAAAGATGTCAAGGCTTTGACATTAATACCACCTCAAAACAGCTGAGAATTCCATCCCAAAATGCTGACATGAGTCAGTAAATTCCAACACTGATGGAGCCATTTCTAGCTAAGTTTTATGTCCACTTGTATGTAAAATAATCCCAAGTAAAACAATAAGAATGTAATGGTTTTATTCTCAATATAATTTATGGGCTTAAAACCAAAGCATAGCTCATATAAAATAATTGCTTTAAAGGATGAATCAATAACTTTCAAATATTCGGGTTTTTGGTATGACAATCAAAACTCAAAATTATATACCCAAAGATATTAGTGAGAATAGTGTTTTTCATAAGTGTTATCATTTTAAAATGCATGGACACGTGCACATGAATACATATGATTATTAAAATATATAAACGTAACAGAGAAGAAAGTAAATAATTTCTGAAAAATTCACAAACCAGACAAATTTTACAGGATATAATGTGGTGCACAAGTTTTAAAGATTTAGTTTATTTTAAAAAAAGTATATACGAATAGAGATTTGCATATATAATTTTATTTCTAATGTTATGTCATAAATGAAATTTCAAACAACTTGTTCCCTAAAAAATGGATTAGTTTTTATCTATTCAAAATAAGAGTACATCCAGCTGGAATAGGTTAAGAGTCATGGATAAATAGTTGTGTCAAGTGGAGGGCTATTAATTCTGTTACTCATAATGCTAAGATTAGATGTGACATCAGCCTGGAACTGACAACAATAGTTCAATTGCTAAGAAAGCAAGAGCTTCAAGGATAAAATTACTGTGAAAAATAGAAACAGTGACCAAACACTTAAGTAAACTCATGCTAAGAAGACAGAAGAATGAGAATGACAGAAAACTATACCCAGCATTAAGCAGCTAGCAAGGGATAAAATGAAGCAAATACAGTTTTCCTTCTTTTTATTTTAGAGTAAAATATGACATATATAATACTTGAGTACATGTTAAACTCTTAAAAATACACAGATTTACTGTTATATACGAATATTGGAGAAACCATTTCAATCAAAAATGAGTTACAGAGTAGCTTTTATTTTACATTAATATACTGATGTCTGGGAAATTATAGTAGTTTTAAATTAAGATTTGGTTATTTCATGTCATATTTACTGTATAATTTCAACACATGATTGAAAATATACATTATATGTGTATACTTTTTCTTTTTTTTTTTTGTTTGAGACAGAGTCTCACTCTGTTGCCCAGGCTGGAGTGCAGTGGTGCAATCTCGGCTCACTGCAAGCTCCGCCTCCTGGGTTCACACCATTCTCCTGCCTCAGCCTCCTGAGTAGCTGGGACTACAGGCACCCGCCACCAGGCCCGGCTAATTTTTTTGTATTTTTAGTAGAGACGGGGTTTCACCATGTTAGCCAGGATGGTCTCGATCTCCTGACCTCATGATCTGCCTGCCTTAGCCTCCCAAAGTGCTGGGATTACAGGAGTGAGCCACCGTGCCTGGCCTGAATAGACTTTTTCTACTCAGTGCAATTTCATTTTAAAAATTAGCCATTGAATAATTTTAGTGGTTTGAATTTTAGAACACTTTTCAATTAAAAATTAATAATCAGAAAATACAGTTGGAGGATGCTAAAAATTCATCACATCATGAGGCATTTACTATGCATATAAATATCTATGTCTTTGTCTAAATCCTTGAAAGTATTTACAGAATACCAAGTTAACTAGATCTTATTCACAAAACACACTTTTGCATTTAAGTCACTATGTTTATATGAACAAAAAAATTGAAAAAAACGTTCTAGTCTGTTCTCTAACAACTATAAAAAAGGACTCAGGGGTACTTGTGCTTTTATTTTAGAGTTTCAATCTCACTGGATTAATGAGAACTATATAGAAGCATTGGGAATTTTTTCTGTGGTTGTTTATATATTTTTTATTTGTTGTCTAAATTTGTTCAAATAGAGACAATGAGAATCAAGTAATTTCACATCCCAAGTATACACAAAGGAGTGTTCAGTGCTCAGAACAATAAATAAGAACTACTATCTTCCTCTGTACTGCCATTCCACATGTTGACAAGCCTTTGGAATAAAAGAATAAAACTCTTCACATATAATTAGTCAGTACAAATTGATGAAAAAATTAAATAAAATGGGTTCTGCTTAAACACATGATCATCAATCTATAATTCACTCCCTCATCACTGATTTATAAATGTACTGAACTAATCAAATCAACTCATCCTCCCACACAGCCCTTAAGGGATAAAGGTGGCCTCGAACTTGCATGAACCTTTTTAATGTGGTTGCTTTGTTCAGTCATACTAAAACATGTAGAGAATGAAAGGGTTTTTAAAGCCTTAATAGAATGATCCTGAAGATATTTTTAAAACATTTAAACCAAATTTTCTGTGTAATGAATTTGTAGATCAAAGGTTTAATAAATTATTTTTATTAAATTGTTGATGGGGTTGAATATAAAGGAGATAGTTTTTAATAATAGAGTTGTCATGACTTGATAAATTGGAGATAATGTCTATCTATCGCAAAGATTTGCAATGCAACCCAGGAAAAAATGTTTAATTAGAAAAGTTTACAAAGAAAAGAAAAACAAAAAAACTCTTTAATTAGGGAGCCCACCAAAGTTGTAAACTGTGGGGTACATTGCTCTTTTGATGTTACTTTACATAGTAGAATAAGAAACTAGTTAGCCATGGAGATATATAATATATATAATAGTGTACATTATATACTATAGTGTATTAATATATATATTACTATATTATGTAAATATAAAATAATATATACCATACAAATATTAATATATAGTATTATATAAAATATATTTTATATATCAGTATGGCTAGTTTCATCTATTATATGTATATATTATCTCTGTTTCTCTTTATATGTAAATATAAACATCCCTACATTACACATATTACTACATATTTATTTTAGAAATATGTGTGTATTTATTTATTCATACAATAATTATGTGTGTGTGTGTATATATATATATATATACACATACGCATACATACAAATATCTTAAAAAGGTAAAGCTTTAGCCCATGCTATTTGTTTTAAAAACTGACTCACAACAAGCCATCTCAAAACTAGTTGCTTAAAGTAAGTATAATTTATTATCATAGATCTATGGATAGGCTGAATATTAACTACAGTAGATGGATATTAGCTGGAAGGTGTGTTGATGTTAACCATGCTTGTTTACTCTACAGAAATTGGATGTTATTTTTTGAATGTGTTTTTCCTCCCCTTTCTGTGTCACGTGAACTTGATCTGACATGTTTTTCTCATAGAAGCAGCAGAGGCATAAAAGAGAATAGGTAAGGTGAAAATTCAGAAATGGCCTGCCATTATTTCCGTCTTATTTTAATGTCCAAGGTAGGTTGTATGGTTGAATCAAAGTCAAATGGAAAGAAAAGCAATTTTATCACTTGGTCAAAGGGCATGGGAAACAGATCCAAGTGGGTGAAGCATTGAGGTATTTAATGCAGTATGACTGACTTGAAATAACTGGTCTCCAATTCTCTGATAAGTAGATATAAAAATTCAAGTGTTTTATTCTTTCAGCTTCCTCAGCTTTCTTACTTTATCAGCCTGTGTTAATTCAGTTGTAATTATCATAAAATTTGCCCATTCCTGTAACTGAGATTAAAAATTAATTTTGATTTTTAAGAAAAACAGAGTGAAATGTACCTGTTTTGAAGAGACTCTGACATCTTGCTGTTCACAATAATAATAGCTAATAGTGAACACTATATGTAGCAAGAAAGCCTACAAGTGCATAATTTTATTTAATTCATTCAATGTAGATACTATTATTACTCCAATTCCAATTATTCACTAACCCAGTTCTCCTGTTGAAAAATAAGGTACAGAGAACAGGTTTAAAAAGTTGACTAGGTTACCATGGTTAAGAATCATCAGACTCCTGTCAAATCCCAGGACTGTTTCACATCAAAGTCTATGCTTTAATGATCAGGAAACACCTGCTCCCATGAACAAAGGAACAGGAATCAGTGGATGCACATCTTCAGTGAGGTTTAATGTATAACACATGAGTTTGGAATCGGCCAGTCTACCTTTGAACTCCAGAGGTACCTTTGAAACATTCCTTAAGCTGTCTGGATTTCCTCCATGTGATAATGAGAATAAAAATACTATCTCTACTTTAGAAATTCTTTAAGATCACACGAGATGCTTGTAAAATATTTAGCAGAGCTTATGACATGGGTAAAATAAGCTATTATTATTATTATTACTCAGGAAGCAGATTTGAAATCAATGTAAACAATTTATTGATGAAAAAGATAAAATTTAATATTGTTTACTGTTGTACAACTGTTATTAAACCTTTTCTCGACTGCTTTATTGTCTCTAACTTTCCAAAAATGAAACTCTGACTTTATGAAACTTTTCTTTACTCTTTTAGTCATGTTTTCCAAGTGACCCATTTTCTACCAGAGTTCAAGATAAGACTCTCTGAGTCCTTGTAAGACTATCTGAGGCATTTGTCCACAGATCTTAGGAGAAGAAATTATGTATATCTTGCACAGAGGTCCAAAACAAAAAGTAATCTTAGAGTTTGGGATAAAATGTAGTGACAGAGTAAGCCAGCCTACAGAGACCAGAGATAGAGAGAGAAGGACAGAAAGAATGATGGCAACATTGGATACCATAATCCAGTCCTTCATGAGACCCAGCTGTACCTCTATACTTTCCATGTCTAAAAATCTGAGACAATAAATTTCTCTTTGCCAAAGACAGAGTTGTATTTCAATTTTTTGAAGACAAAGATCTTTAACAGAAACATAGATCATTGCCTGAATCTAGAGTCCTAGGAAATTCATAGATTAAACATGTGGGGAGCAAATGGGAATCCAGGACAAGAGATGAGTAATATCAACCAGCAAGTTAGGAGAAAAAGCAAAGAAGTGATGAATCCAAGAAGTCAAAAAAACGAGGAGAAAGTAGTGATAAACACAAAGACATAAATATATGGGGGCAGGAATCATGAAGTTTCACCTATTTTCTGTCTACAAAAATGAGAGTAGTTTTGGTAGAGCCATAGATAAAAAGGGCTAATTTGAACAAATTGTAATAAAGTCAGAAAGCAACTAGAAATGATGGTAATTATCAACAATTTCAAGCAGTTGTTCTGCAAATATGAGCAAATAAATAGTATTATATTTAAAAAGTAAGCAAAACATAGTTTCTTTATGAGAAACTATGTAGTAATGGAAATATTATAATAGAGAACATTTGATTACATGGAAGGAAGACAGAAGAATTGCAGAAATGACACCCTTGAATAAATTAGGAGAATGAAGTGGAGTGACTGATGTTTGATAGAAGCAAATGTATTTCATCGATTGTTTCAGGAATTAATGCAGAAGAATCTTTTCATCTTTGTGTGCTAATAAATCTGAAAGACTTAAAATACTGCAAGCACATATTAATTACTTGGTGGATATCTGTTTTGTTAATTAATGGCCATGGAATTAAAACTGCGGAATGAGAAATATGAGACATCAAGTAGAAGAGGGAAAAAAAAAAGTTAGTAAGATGAATGAAATGGAAGTTTTAAGAGATTTGAAGTTTTGTTAGGTTTAGGGTGATGAAGTAAATTAGAAGAATTGGTGGTCAAAGTATAGAATTCAAGAAACTGAGATCATGGAGGTGATGTAGTAATTAGTACCACAAGATCTAGACAATGAAAAAAGCCTAAATAGATTATGGCTGAGATAAAGACCAGAACTTTAGGGAAATGGAATTCAAGGATCTGCAGTGCCAGAAGTTGGAAGCATCCTCCAGGTATTTATTGCAATTACAGAGAACTGAGGTAAGAATACTATGTTCTAAAATCATTGAGCTGTGGAGGAGAATAAATCTGTGGGTTGTGGATGACAGCAACAATGAAGGCTAGTGAGTGAAGAAAAATAATAATACACATGAGATTCAAACTGTATTAGTCCATTTCACACTGCTATGAAGAACTGCCTTAGACTGGGTAATTTGTAAAGAAAAGAGGTTTAGTTGACTCACAGTTCCACGTGGCTGGGGAGGCCTCAGGAAACTTACATTCATGACAGAAGGAAAAGCAGGAACAAGTGCCTTCTTCAGAAGGCAGCAGGAGAGAGAGAGCATGCAGGGCAAACTGCCACTTTTAAACCATTGGATTTTGTGAGAACTCCCTCAATATCATGAGAACTGCATGGGGGAAACCACCCCCCATGATCCAATCACCTCCTACCAGCTCCATCCCTCAACAAGTGGGCAATACAATCCAAGATGAGATCTGGGTGGTGTATTAGTCTGTTTTCACACTGCTGATAAAGACATACCTGAGACTGGAAAAAAAAAGAGGCTTAATGGACTCACAATTCCACATGTCTGGGGAGGCCTCACAATCGAGGAAGGCAAGGAGGAGCCAGTCAAGTCTTACATGGATAGTATCAGGGAAAGAAAGAGCTTCTGCAGGGAAATTACCATTTTTAAAAACTTTAGATCTTGTGAGACTTATTCACTATCATGAGAAAAGTGCAGGAAAGACCCTCCCCCATAATTCAATCACCTCCCACTGGGTTCCTCCCACAACACATGGGAATAGTGGGAGTTACAATTCAAGATGAGATTTGAGTGGGGACAAATCATATCAGGTGGGAACACAGAACCAAACCATATCAAAAACCCAAGGATCGTCAGGAAGGAGAGAGGAGGAATGCCCTGAATTTGGAAATACTATCTAAGAAAAGGCCAGGCACAGTGGCTCACACCTGTAATCCCAGCTCTTTGGGAGGCTGAGGCAAGCAGATCATGAGGTCAGGAGATCAAGAGCATCCTGGCTAACATGGTGAAACCCTGTCTCTACTAAAAAAATACAAAAAATTAGATGGGCGTGGTGGCACATGCCTATAGTGTCAGCTACTCAGGAGGCTGAGGCAGGAGAATTGCTTGAACCTCAGAGGTAGAGGTTGCAGTGAACCAAGATCACACCACTGCACTCCAGCCTGGGCGAGAGAGCAAAAATCCTAAATAAATAAATAAATAAAACCCAGATTTGTTTTGTGAAGCTGTGAGAACAAAAAACGAATATTACTGACAGGCCAGCAGTGGAAGCCATGTCCACAGGAGAGATCCATGTTTTCATCAGAAAAATAGTTTGAAAGGAAAGATCAAAGAATTTGATCTCAGGATGTAAAATAATTCCTCTGGAACAGTATAAGGATGTCAGGAAATAGGATGGTAAGAAAAGAGGAAAAATAGGGATTACAGAGCTTTAAAAGAGATTGGATTTTGGACCATGAAGTGTGACTGAGGCTGGGTGGGTTTTGGGGATACCACAAATAAGGAAGAAATAAATAATGGGACTAATCCCAGCAAATTTACCACACATTGTGTTGGAGGGAGCCTGGATTTAGGGAGGAATTGTCTGGATCCTCCCTTAATAACTCACAAAGGTGGGAGTTTTGTACTACAGTTGACTTGACCTTTATTCCTAGCCCCTTCTTTCATGGCAGAACTCTGTTAGTAAGGATTCATGTTACACTGAATCACTCTTCACACTGATGATAAGAGTAGACTGAATTGAAATTGAAGGATGAAGGCTCTTTATTTCCATATACAATACTTTTTTCATGTCTATTTTTTTCCTCTGCCAGAAAAATAAATTTGATCGAAAACAGGGTTTGGTGTTTTGTTTATTTCTTTATTCATATATTAAGAAAAGACCTATTCTAAAGCCTGGCTCAGAGGTATGTGTAAGTGAATGAGGCTGGTGGTAATATGATATGTTCCTTCATTACTTGTAACCACAGGGATTAGAAAATCTAGCTGAAAATATTTTATTTCTCTCTTCCATCCATTTGGCTTCACAAGCTGTCATATTGTTTATGTCTTCACTGCCTATAATTAAACACATAGGAGCAATAAAGAGTCTCTATCCCTAAGCAACACAATTGTTCATCCTTTGGGTTAGACTTTTTCTGTGTGTAAGAATGGTTGAGCATGAAAGAAAACTGCTATAAAATAAGGTATGTGACCATTAGATATTGATAAATTGTCACAAAGAAAGTAATTTCCCTTTTTGTAACAAAGTTGTAGGCTAACATAAAAAAGAATTTTTTGAAAAAATATTTGCCAGAGTTCAAATACTGTGTGTGTTATGTGTCTGTTTGTGTGTGTGTCTGTGTGTATATTTGTGCTATATCTTGGTTATTGAATCTTAACAGAGGTGAGTTTGTATAAAAGCAGGATACAGAACACACAACAAAAGCCTATTTCTTAAATGCTGTAGAAGCCAGACCAAAAAATCTTAGCTACTTTGTACTATCATTTATACATTAATAATTAAGAATAGTAAATATTGAGTCTGTAATATTCTCAGTTTAATATACATTTAAACCTCTATTGTAATGTACACACACACACAAAACATGTAATTACAGTATTTCCTCATAAATAACAATGATTTGATCAATCACTAACTGTGCATACTTATTAATCGGTCAAGTGTTTTCAGTTGTAGTGCACAACGAAAGAAAAAAATAGACAGACCACTTAAATTCTTGCCTCTGAATTTCTCATCTGTGAATAAATGTTACTTTTCTCAACTTGAATACATATCCATATTATGTGACCAATTCTCTTCTTAAATAATTTTCAAATTTTTATTTCATTTATTGTTGTTGTTGTTGTTGTTGTTGTTGAGACAGAGTCTAGCGCTGTTACCCAGACTGGAGTGCAGTGGGGTGATCTTGGCTCACTGCAACCTCCCCATCCCAGGTTCAAGTGATTCTCCTACCTCAACCTCCTGAGTAGCTGGGACTACAGGCACCACCAAGCCCAGCTAATTTTTGTATTTTTAGTAGAGACGGGGTTTCACCATATTGACCAGGCTGGCCTCCAACTCCTGACCTCAGGTTACCTGCCCACCTCAGCCACCCATATTTCATTTAGTTTTAACTAATATACTTTATTTTTTAAGAACAGTTTTAGACTTGCAGAAAATTGAGTAATTACTAGAGAGTTCCCCTACCACCTGTGTCCCAACAATTTTCCCTACTGTTAACATCCTTTTAAGTGTGATTGTTACATTATTATTATTAATTGAAGTTCAAAGTTGATAAGCTTTGGAACTCTGTCTCCTCCAAGTCTCATGTTGAAATGTAATTGGCATTGTAAAAGTATCAAGAGGCGGAAGAGTTAAGAGTTATTTAAGCCATGAGGACTAATAAAGGTGGAATTGATGCTCTTATAAAGAAAGGTGAGTTTACTTCCCTCTTGCTCTCTCTTGTCCTCTCATATTCTGCCATGTGATGGCCCAACAACAAGGCCCTCACTGGATTCTGGCATCTTGATATTGGACTTCAGTTTTCCAGAAGTGTGAGCCAATAAATTTTGTTTATTGTAAGTTACTAAGTCTGTGGTGTTCTATCATAGCATCAAAATATTGACTAAGATCATACTTTACAGTAAGGCTCACTGTTTATTTTGTATATTTTAATGGATTTTAACAAATGCACAATATCATGGATCCTACAATTAAAATATCATAGAGAATAGTTTCACTGTCCAGTAAACCTATTATGCTCACGCATTTCTCTCTCCTTCTCATCTCAAACCCTTGACAATTGTTGATAATTTTGTAGCCTCTACAGTTTTGCATTTCCAAAATGTCATGTAGTTAAAATTATATAGTATGTAGCCTTTTCAGACAGGTATATCTCACTTAGCAATATGTATTCAAGTTTTTTAAATGTCTTTTTGTAGCCTAATAGTTTAATTTTTTTAATCAGTGAATAATATTCCATTGTACAGATGTAGCAACATTCGTATACCATTGAGCTATTGAACATTTCAGTTACCTCCAGTTTTTGATTATTAAAAACAAAGCTGATGTAATTATTCCTATGCAGGTTTCTGGTTTTACTTTAAAGAGAATTTGAGGATTTAAGAACTTTACACTTACTCTAATTTCTCCAGATCTTGCTATCTTGCCTCTATTATCCATAATTTTCTCATAATAATGTCCTCTAACTAAAGAATCCTATATAGACATAAGACTATGTTGTAGGCCCCTCTATTTAAGAAATTATATTTATGATATTGCTAATACATTTACTTGGTTTTCAAAATATTGATTGCTTTCGGAAAGAACATGTTCTGCAAGATTTGTTGAACTTCCCAAACTGATGACATTTGTTTGATCCCTAAATATTAGTACTCATTCAATTACAGTAAGGATAAGTAGTTTGAGTAATTAGTTTTCCTTCATATATACCCTGAAAAGAATAGCTTAAAATAAGTATCCATGTGGGCCAATATGCAGATTCGGTAACCTGTATCATTTTATTTTAGTTAATAATAGAAATAGGCACAATTATTAATATTATGTCCTGTATTAGTCCATTCTCACACTGTTATAAAGACATACCTAAGACTGGGTAAGTTATAAAGAGAAAAGGTTTAATTGACTCACAGTTCTGCATGGCCAGGGAGGCCTCAGGAAACTTACAATCATGGCAGAAGGTGAAGAATAAGCAAGGCACATCTCACATGGTGACAGGAGAGAGAGCGAGCAATGGGAAGTGTCATACTTTTAAACCATCAGATCTCATGAGAACTCACTCACTTTCATGAGAACAGCATGGGGAAAACACCCCCATCATCCAATCACCTCCCACCAGGTCTCTCCCCCAACATATGGGGATTACAATTGGAGATAAGATTTGGGTGGGGACACAGAGCCAAATCATATCAGGTCCTAAGCTATTATTATAAAACAAAAACAAAAACAAAAAACTCCTGTGGATTCAATTTTTATCCTCAGTTACTTTTTCTGGCCATGTCCAAAATGATTTTTTTCTGAATGAATGGTGTTGAAAAAACTGAAAGAATATTGGTTAATGAGTCATGGGCAGAAGTGAATTGGTTTAAAAATAACACAGGAAACTCAACATTCATTCAATACCACATTCCAGAAAGTTTTAATGGAAACACTGAAGTCAGAGAACCCTAGAATAATGGCACCAGACTTAATAAAGAATTTGAAAACAATTTGTTAACTATTCGTTTATGGTACCACAATAGCCTACTAATTGGCTTCCCCAATGTGTGTTTCCTCCTCTTTAGCCTATTATCTTAAATATAGACAGTGATCTTTACAGAAATGTATATTTTATTATGTTAAATTAACCTCCACCTGAAAGCCAATATTTTTCTCATTACACAAAAAAAAGCCTAATTAAGATAGCGTATACATTTAAGTATTTGTTTACATCTGGCATTACTTATTTCCAGAAAAAAATGGCTCTGAGTTAATTCAATAAAAACATTTTAACCGAGTTGTTGCATTTGGTTTTATTTCAAATTTTTATGTCAGGAAAGGCCAATTCCTAATTCTCCCTACTCATTTTCTCTTATTTTTATGTCTTCGTTTTCTCTACCTTCTTTTTTTTTTCAAAATTATTTTGGACATCTGTATGGATTTTTTTTTTGATTTATAAATTTTCTTGAGATGAATTAATATCTTTAAATGACTGACTTTTTCTATACATATACATAACATATTTTCAGGTTTATTCATTGATATTAGGTTCTTACTAATGGTTTAGCACAGAAAAGTCTATTAAACAAATACTAAATTGTTTTCTATGTTTTAAAAGTACTCTAGGTCCTAAGTATTTTCTTCTTTTTAATACTTGAAACAATTCAGTTATATGTGAAATGTAAATATTTAAATTTTTATAGCTAGACAAAATTATTATCCCATTTAAGAAGTAGTTTACATTTTTAAAAATACTTTGTGAATACCAGTGATGTTAATTTTCATTTTTACCTTCTAATTGTTGGTATAAAAATACAACTATGAATTCAAAAATGCACCTAAAAATTCAGAAGATTGTTCAAATAGCTCTTCTTTTAATCTAGAATTATTCTACCAACTTAAAAATATTCTTACGAAGATATAGAAACTAATTTACTGGAGTTTTGTTTCCAAAACTTTAAAATGACGTTGGGGAGTCACTGAGTGCAGGAAATGCTACCCCAAAATATGACACAATAGAATTTGAGAGAACAGTAGAAGCGAGAAAGCCACTCTCATCTTCTCTCCACTATTCTCCCCTGAAGCAGGCCATACAATTCAGGAAACACACTCTCTGGCCTTCTCCCTCCCTTAATTCCTAATTAACCTCATCTTACAGGTTTTTTTACACCTGTCTAGGTGTCTTCCCTATACCTAGACAGAAAGAATGTCACACAGATGGCAAGAAGTATCTGGACAAACAGACCTCGCTAAGTTCCTCCCACTTTGTTACCATTACATCATACTCTTTCCCCTCCAATCATGATTCTGCTAATTGTTTACAAAAATACAATTTTTTTCTGGTTCCTAAGGTCTTCATCTCCTAATGAAGGAGTCTGTGTCACATAAAATTAATTAAATAAATTTGCATGCTTTTCTCTAGTTACTTTTTTTAATAGGTATCTCAGACAAGACACCAGCAATGGATGAGGAAAGGGTATTTTTTTTTTCTATTGTACAGGAGTCTGTTAAAAATAAGATGATTATTTAATGTAAAATTATAATAAAATGAGAAAAACACAAAATGACCCAAAGGAAGCACATAAAGATAAAGAATAATATATCTATAAACTAAAATACAGAAAATAGCCAACCAATTTTATTGAAAATTTGCTAGTTGCAATGGTTTTCAGGAGTTCTTATCAACATTTATGACTTCACGTCTTCAGTTAAAACTCTCAGTGTATTTCTATTTGAAATGCAAAGTACATTTCTTACTCATTTTGCTTATTAAGGTGTAAATTTAAAAATTCTGTTGTTAAGAAACTTAGTATGGGTCAGAAATAATTCTTTTTTAAAATTTTCCAATAGAACTTACACTTAAACTTGATTATAATTATTATTAATCTATTATTATAATGTGTTCTTTTGCTGATAGATATAAACTTTCTGGAAAATAAATCTGAATTATGTTATCTAGTATATAAGTTAAATTATTTATGGAAAACATAAATTTGTTAAGGTAATCATTTTGGTAGTTCTATTCGTTAATTAATGAAGTAGTGACATAAGCAATCTCCTACAGATGTGCATGTCCTAATCCCTGGAATCTGTGAGTATGTTACATTATATGGCAAAAAATGGAAAACAAAGACATTGAAGATGGAATTAAGGTTACACATTATAAAGCAGGAAGATTATCCTTGATTATTTGCTGGATCAATCTAATTACATGTGTCCTAAAAATTGAAAAAAAAAAAGAGAGGAATAGGAGAGATCAAAATAATAAAAGAGGAATCCAGAGATGGGTAAAAGAGGTAATAAGGAGTAATAACAGGTAATAATGACTTGTATCAGTGTTTGCAGGTTTGAAGGGCAACAAGGACTTCAGTCCTACAACCAACCACAGCAAGGAAATTCTTCCAACAACCTGAAGAACCAAAGAAAGTTTATTTCCTGGAGTCTCCATGGAGAAACACGGTTGTGTTGATGCCTTGATTTTAGCCAGTAAGATTCATGTTGGATTTCTGACATGCAGAATAGTAAAATAGTAAATTTGGGTTGTTTGAAGCCATCAATATTGTGTCAATTTTTACAGTGGCAATAAAGAATATACTGCATTTAACCAACATTAATAAGTTTTGCCTTACAATATTGAAAGAAACAACGTGAAGTGTTTTTCTTATTCTTACAAAGGAGAAAGTCATGTTTACATCTTTTCTCTTACCTTCACTTTCCATGTCTGCTGCTGTGAATATGAAATACATATGCCTAATGCACCCAATGAAATAATGGGTCCATAATTGACTTTCATAAAGGATACTTATTGCTAATATTAAATGCTTATTGATAATTTTCCAAATGCCTGACATTACTTACACTAGATGCTATCAATATAAGGTAAATGACTCTACTTCAAGAAGCCAGTCAGTTAATACATTTTTAGCAAAGTCTAGAAAAAATGTTTCAACTAGTAAATACATGAAATAATAAGTAGTAATTGGCATTCATATATCCCAATCTAGCATTTTCTCTGATACATTGCTAATAAAATCAGAAACTAAGACCATGAGAATTTGCTTTAACATTGTTAGAATTTTGCTAAATTGACAGCTGAAAGCACATGTACTATACTGGACTATACATTATTATTTGATTCTTAGTGTTACCTGATAATTGTATCTTTCTCCAGTGATGGTCACAGATAAGACTGATCTTCAGAATTAATTGTTGTTTATTACTCTGCACACTTTGTTAGTCTAATACAATAAATTGGCATACTTTTTGAAATATCTTACTTTCCTCAGTGGGTAAAATTTGTTTTTAAGGTTTTCAATAATTTGGAAGAACTCTCCAAAATTATTTGGTGTCTGAGATATTTTTCAAAATATTTTTTGGTAATTTATTCTATTTCTTTAAAGTACTGGTTCTAGAATACTAAACACTTTATTTACCCTCTCAAAAATAAATCAAACACATTACATAATTTTAAGATGACTGATTTTACTTCACTTACGAGGTAATGAGTCAGCCTGTTACAGTTCCATAGATGCTGTCAGAAGACATCAGATTTCTGGATCAGAGACAAATAATGTAATTAACCACCACACAGCCAATACTAGCAATGTCATCAAACTTGTTCAAGTTTCCTTTGCCCTGAAGTTCCCTAAGGTGACATGGAGGGTCAGTTGAAGCCTGCATGGGCGGTGTGTAATACTGAGCTTAAAAAATCTACTACTCTTTATGGCAAATAAACAACACTGCACTTGTACAGAGAGACATTATCTCAGCTCTCAAGATTTCTAACTGTATAAGGATCAACAGGGAGAAATGGTGTTAGTGAAAGACTAAAACATTCTACCTCCCAACAATAATTATCTCTTAATACAAATATACATATTTTAATTGTTCTTGTGCCCTCTTTTATTTTTTCTTTTTCATATTACTGTATCTTATGTATAAATACATTGTACTTCATCCAATTTTCTAAATAGTGTCCTGGTTTGATAATTTTTGTAATAGGATAATTTTGACTTTTAATAATCAAAAAATACTATTTTGCTTACTATGATTATTATATTCAAATTTTTATTTCTTTTTTATCTTACTACTTCTGCCATTCCCCTGCTTAAAGCTCTTCCTATGCCTTTGGTGCAAAGTCAACTTAATTTGTTTAACTTAAATTGCTATCCCTGATCTCTTCACTTACTAAATTTTATTCCTTCTCATCTCTCTTTCCAACTTCCCTGTAAATTTTAGCAACTCTGAATTACTTTTAGTCTCTGAAAGTGTCATGCTCTCAATTGCTCTTTCCTGTCTTCATTCTACTTCTTGAAACTGACTGTCTTGAAATTGCTCTCCCATTTCTTTTAACTTAGTTAAACCTCAGGCTTTCCCTTAGTTCAAGGCTACCTTAAGTCAGCCTCCTGAGGACTCCTGCGGTGCCTGTATGCTGTTATTTTTGTAACTGATGTTGCCTGGCCTGGATTTTATGTTCTATAACAAAGTAACTCAGACTTCTTGACCATCATCGTATCTATGGTACATACCTTGACAGTTGAGAAACAAAGTGTCACAAATACTGATCTATGGAATTAAACACTATTACATTCATTATGAAAATGTTAAAATATACACGGTTGACCAAAATAGAGTGCCAGCATGAATTTGAGATCAGTTTAGAGTTCAGGTGTTCTTACTGCTGCTACATTTGCATTTACCTTTCCGACTTTTAATATTTTATACATATTGTTATCGCAGACAAATATTGAAATATTTTCTAACTGGCTGAATTCTAAGATATAATTCAGAACAGGAAAAAATAAAAATGAACCTAATAATAAAATAAAATATTTTTATAGAGAGAATATATATATTTTTACTTTTGCTATGGCTCCATCACCTCTGTGGCCTCTAATTTCTGAGTTTTACTTTTATCTTATGTTGACAATTAGGACAGTATTTGTATCTGATAATATGCAGGTTCAATATGTATTTCTATTTTTGTCTGTATCAATTTTTAATTGTATGTATTTTATTTTTTATCAGTAAGAAGAGTAAAATGAAGCCAGTGCAATGCTGCCAAATCTCTATTCAGAGAGATAATTAATATCTTAAATGTATTAACTAGAGAAAGAAATGAAGAAAGAAGAAACAATTAAATATTCCACCAAACAAAGTAAAAACAAACAAACAAAAAATTAGGATTTTAAAATGGAAGAAAGGAAGCATCATATAATAAAAGTGGATGAAATAAATTTGAACTTAAGCATTAAAAAATCCTCACATCTTTAAAATTAATTAATTTACACAAAAATAAATTCTTAGTTGAGTATTCAAATAAAAAGGCCCACAATAGCAATATCATGGTGATACAAGATGTGAAAGAAATTCTAAAATGCTTTCAGAAATGAAATAGTGGCAAAACATTTACACAAAAAAGGAAGTAAACATGTAAACCCAAGAGTTACAGCAGTGGAATGAGAATTACATCAAATTAATCTTCTCAACAGAAACAATTTATGCTGACAGATACAGAAACAATCACTTCAGTAATTTGAAAAAAATATAACAAATAACAAAACTTATTTTGCATTTTGAAGTCTTTGCCAAGTGTCACTTTATATGACAGTCTAAGATTTTAACATATATAACCATTTGCCACAAATTATCTCTAAGTAAATTAAGAGACATGGTTTAGGCCGTGCGCAGTGGCTCAGGCCTATAATCCCAACACTTTGGGAGGCCGAGACGGGCGGATGGCGAGGTCAGGAGATCGAGACCATCCTGGCTAACACTGTGAAACCCAGTCTCTACTGAAAATACAGAAAATTAGCCGGGCGTGGTGGCGGGTGCCTGTAGTCCCAGCTACTCGGGAGGCTGAGGCAGGAGAATGGCGTGAACCCGGGAGGCAGAACTGGCAGTGAGCCAAGATCGTGCCACTGCACTCCAGCCTGGGCAACGAGCGAGATTCCGTCCTAAAAAAAAAAAAAAAAAGAAAAGGTTTAAAAAGGAGAGCAATATCAAAGGAAAGATATAGACAGTGATGAACAGAAAAACTGGAAATACTTGCATTTCTGTCTAAATGATTAAAGGCATGTATTCTGAAGCCAGTCGGGTCGTATTTGTGGACTGATTCCACTACCTAATACTAGCTGTTTGATATTAAGTGAATCATGTAAATTCTTTCTGCATAATATTTACTCATTTATACAATGACAATAAAAGTGATCAAATTTGTCTAAAGTTGTTCTTTGGTGTCTGTGGGTGATTGGCTCCAGGACTCCCTATGTATGCCAAAATTTGTGGATGCTAAAATTATTTGTATTAAATACTGTATATTTGCATATAACTGACACACATTCTCCTGTACATTATAAATCATCTCCAGATTGCCTATAACCACAAATACAATGAAGTGCTATGCACATAGTTGTTATAAGGCATTGTTTAGAAAATGATGAAAAAAATTGTATATGTTCAGTACACTTTTATTACTTCAAATATTTTTGATCTGTGGTTGGCTGAATCCATGGGTGCTAAACCCACGGATATGGAAGGTCAACTCTAATATCATCTATATAAAAATAAAATGCATTAATACCAGTAATGTAATTAGAATGATGCTATTAGAATGATATAGGCAGTTTTGTATAAGTGTTTAGATAATAAATAGTCACATTGCTAAATAAATTACATTCTATAATAAATAATTTCCAACAATTGGTACTACAAGTCCCTCTAGAATGGAATTTGAGGAGATGGAGGGAGAAATGGAAGGAAATAAAAACAGGAAAACTTCATATATTTTTGTGAAGTGAAAATAATGTTATAGACTTTTAAAGAAAAGTTTTAAAAAATTTATACGTTTAAACACTGGAAAAATAGAAATAATATGTTAAGGTTATTAGTAAGTAATGACTGGCAAGGTAACAACAATATTTACTATTTTAGGCCAGGCACGGTGGTTCACGCCTGTAATCCCAGCACTTTGGGAGGCCGAGGTGGGCAGATCACGAGGTCAGGAGATCGAGACCATCCTGGCTAACACGGTGAAACTCCATCTCTACTGAAAATACAAAAAGAAATTAGCTGGGCGTGCTGGCGGGCGCCTGTAGTCCCAGCTACTCGGGAGGCTGAGGCAGGAGAATGGCATGAACCCGGGAGGCAGAGTTTGCAGTGAGCCGAGATCGTGCCACTGCACTCTAGCCTGGGCGACAGAGTGAGACTCTGTCTCAAAAAAAAAAAAAGGAAAAACACACAGTAAGTATGAAATAAAGAATATATTTATAACAAAACTTACAATACTTTACCTAACATTGTTTTCTGCCAAATAAGGCAGAGAAAATTACAAAAAGAAAATCACAGCCAATAAAAATAAAATATAATACAGATATATTATCTATATTATATAGATCTGAATCACAAAAATTAGTGAATTAAATTTTTACTTAGAAAGCAGATAATCTTAAAAAAGACTAACAAAAATAAATGAACAGAAAAAAGGAAAAGACTACCAAGAAATAATATATCTTAACATCTTCTAAATTGCAAACATAATACAGATTGAAACCATGCAATACAATTTGAAATTAACAATAAAATATAATTAACCAATGTCTTTTTAATTTAGAAAACAAAAATTTAATTTAAATACCACATTAAACAAAATTTATCCTATAATTTATTCAAACTAGTTGAAGTGTCAGATTTGCAAACCAAAACCAATTGAATGCAGTAAAGCCATTTTAGAAACAAATAGATAAAAGAAAAATTTTATTAGAATAAAGCTTGAAAAGTGATTCCATGATGTTTTAAACATAAGAATTACAGAAAAGAACATCAAAATAACCCTAAAATATGCAATTACAAGACAAAATATTAAGAACACAACTATATCAACTATTAGTTTCTGGTTTTAGATAGTAGTTACATAAAAGCTATTAAATACAGTGATCTCCATCAAGTTAAGTAAAGAAATAAAATGATAGGTGTCATGTCTATAAACCATTAAAATTAAAAAGACCTAACTCTATATACTGATTAGTTTCAATCATTTAAGATATTTTATATACAATTGTATTTGTAAATATACTGATTTAATTTCCAGGAAAATATAATTACTAAAATTTGTTTAAGGCCAAGTAGAAAATATTGAATTAAAATTATTGTGGAAGAAATATATCTGTCCCCAGATTGTTCTGGGTGAATTTTACAAAGAAGTTCTACCATGAATTTTAGAAAGTGATTATATTTTTTAAACATTTCAAACTAATTTAGCAACTGAAATATTTTCAACTCATTCAACCAGACTAAGGTCCTAAAAATAAAACTTAACAAGGAAAACATATATTCGAAGTGAAATAATAGACCAAAAGTAGTTAGATACATTTTTATAAAAGCTTATTTCATATAGTAGGACAAAGTAAGCCTTGTATTTATCATGTCTACCTAAGTGTTATCATACGATTTTGTGAAATGTTCAGCATTTGTAAATTTATTAAGATAGTATGTTATATTAGCAGCTTAGTGCAGGAATGACAAATCGGTAACCTCCCCAAACAAACAAATATAAATGCACCTTATAAAACTCTTTAGAACTCTTTAGCATTATCAACTAAAGATTATTGCATTTTATATTAGAAATGACTGTAATCTTTTTTTCTTTCTTTTTTTTTTTTTTTCTGAGACAGAGTCTCGCTCTGTCGCCCAGGATCGAATGCAGTGCCGCGATCTCGGCTCACTGCCAGCTCCGCCTCCCGGGTTCACGTCATTCTCATGCCTCAGACTCCCCGGTGGCTGAGACTATAGGCGCTTACCACCACTCCTGGCTAATTTTTTTGTATTTTTAGTAGAGACTGGCTTTCACCGTGTTAGCCAGGATGGTCTCGATCTCCTGACCTCGCGATCTGCCCGCCTCAGCCTCCCAAAGTGTTGGCTTTACAGGCGTGAGCCATCGCTGCCGGCCGACCGTAATCTTATCTACTTCTATTTCTGTAATGTTTCAAATGCATGCACATTTTTACAAAGTGACAATTACATGAATGTTTGTTATTACCTAGAGCCCTGAAACAAAATAAAGCTAAAAACTTTATTTTCTAATTCTACTGAGAATTTCATTTAAAAAAGAAAAAAAAAGCAATAAAAGAAGCTTTTTTGCTTTGCTCTGAGACAGAGTTTCTCTTCTATGTAGAAATGAAGATAGTAACCCCTTAGTTTTCCTGAACTATACCCCATAGAATATAGGGAGTTCTACACTCTTCCTTTAAATGCTCATGGTAACATATATGTGAGCTACAATATTAGTTTATACTATCACCAACCTAAATAACAGAGAGAGGCCCTCTAATAGAAAATTATATTTATTCTGGAAATAGGACATTGCAATGAGAATACGCATGTTATAGTAGATTATGTGTACATTCCCATTGCAATGCCTGGTTCTCAAATAAATATTATTTTCTTTCAGGGTAATTCTGTTTGTTATTTAGTTTGACATAAATAGTGCCCAAAGTGAGATTTGAAGAATAATCACTATCTTAAAAAATCAACAATTTAGCCAGGAGTGGTGGCTCACGCCTATAATCCCAGCACTTTAGGAGACCGAAGTGGGTGGATCACGAGCTCAGGAGATCGAGACCATCCTGGCTAACACGGTGAAACCCCGTGTTACTAAAAATACAAAAAATTAGCCGGGCGCGGTGGCAGGCACCTGTAGTCCCAGCTACTCGGGAGGCTGAGGCAGGAGAATGGCGTGAACCCGGGAGGCAGAGCTGGCAGTGAGCCGAGATGGCGCCACTGCACTCCAGACTGGGCGACAGAGCGAAACTCTATCTCAAAAAAAAAAACACAACAATTCTTGGAACTAGTATAGTATTCTCTTGAGCCCTTAAAGCTATCCACTTTTTTTTTTTTTTTGACAGTCTCCCTCTGTTGTCGAGGCTGGAGTGCAGTGGCATGATCTCGTGATCTCAGATCACTGCAACCTCCACATCCTGGTTCAAGTGATTCTCCTGCCTCAGCCTCCCGAGTAGCTTGGACTACAGGCACTTGCCACCACACCCAGCTAATTTTTATAGTTTTAGTAAAGACGGGGTTTCACCATGTTGGCCAGGATGGTCTCCATCTCTTGACCTCATGATCCACCCGCCTTGGCTTCCCAAAGTACTGAGATTACAGGCGTGACCCACCACACCTGGCCAAAGCTCTCCACTTTGATGGCTCAACTTTTCTACTCTGTATAGTCTTCTCTCAGGCCAAGAGAGGGCCTATTTGTTTTATTTGGGATTTGTTTTGGTTATAAGTCCACATTTATTAAAAAAAATCCTAGATTCCTCCTGGTGTGATAAAAGACTCTTGTTTTTTCTGGCAAGTACTTTCTGGTATAAAGACAAATGTCCTTCTGGTCTAGGTATTCCAGTTTCTTAGAGAATTTACATTCTGACTCTGAGGCATTTTTTTTTCTGGTAAATTTAATTCTTTCTGCACACCTAATTTAATATTTTGTTTATTCTGCATGCCTGGATTAAAATTTCGTGAACACTTCGATGTTGGTTTGTTGATGCACATCTGTAAGTGATTTGGCTTTTTACCCTTACTTGTTTCTGAAAATCCTCCAATAGCAAAAATAAACATTCTAAATGGTGGATTCAGGATGGCTAATTGAAAGCCACTAGGGGTATTGCCACAACCTGAAACATCAGTCCAATCTCCTGTTGTTCCGTGACAGGATTTATATAATTTTTTTAATCTCAAAAGATTAATGTAAAACTAATGAGATTCTCAAACTTTAAGGCATGTCAAGTTATCTGAAGATTCAGTCAGCTGTATTATAACCTCTTCTCATGCATGTTTTTAAACTGATAGGCAAATTACATCAAGAAAAAAAATCAGAGCTTGAATGTTCACTATTCAAAGCCTCAAAAAAAAAAAAACCTGCATTTATAAAGTAAGCATGTAGAACCTTCTAAGTTCTCTATTTATTTTTTGCCTACTTTTAATTTGCTGACTTTTCTGCTGGTGTTGAGATGAACACCCACCACTGAAGACAATCCAGCCATGGTTAAATGAATAAATAAATCTTAAAGGACTTTCAAATTCATGGCTTTACAAACAACAATAACTTCACAGTAACCAACAACCTAGATACCTTTTGAAAACATAAATATAGGTTTGCCTTACTAACAGTTACTTAGATTGATGGAACAGTTAATGAAAACATTATTGTCTTAAAAAAAAAGACCTAGAAAAGTGTTTATATATTTACGCTTTCAGAACAAATAGGTCAAAATCTTAAGCTGAGAAAAATAATATGAAGTATCTCTATCTGACATCAAAATTTCTTGTCTGTCATTCAGGGATCAAAAAGGAAAACAAATGAGCAAAAAAGTTAAAATAAAATAAAAAAGAACCTGCTGAAATGCTTACCTACTCTCATTGACTAGTCAAGGAGATCAGTTGCAAACAGAAGATAGATTTGTTACTGATTCAAGGCCATATTGAATTTCTTTTCTTGTACAATTCAGAAAGTCCTAGCTAAAATATAAACATTACAAAATGTATTGCTAACCTCATTTAAAATTGGAAAAAAAGGCTAAAATTGATTATTTAAAACCAACTATTTACCCAAAATGTTGCTTTATAGCATTCATTAGATTACCTGTAAGGGCAAACCAAGTTTTACCCATGTGAACATGTCTCACTTTGTCAAAAATACAATTTGGATCCAACTTTTTTTTTTTTTATAAACTGGCAAATGTATGTAACTATTTCATGTCTAAAATTCTAATATGAAAACTATGAGATCTATGTGTGTACACATGTCTAGGTGTGTTTACACCTACATACATACATTATGTTGTATGTTGAGTCTACATGATAAATTCTACCACAGTTGTCCAGAAAGCTCTTAAGAAATTCAATTCAGATTGGCTTAAATAAGTGCTCAAGTAAGCTATATAGTAATAAATAGTCCAAATGATTTTTAGTTAAGTGACTTAAGTAAATCATAAATAAGCTTGTTGTATAATGGTTGCTAAGATGTCAATATAAATATCTTTGAAAAGTCAGCATAAATGTTTGCCTGGGTTTATTGGTGAGACTGCTTTATATTAGTGTCTACTAGATGTTTTATGGTGTCAAGTTTTGACACAGAAGTTATAAAACAATAAACCCAGCCTAAAACAGAATGCTCTTTGTGCAATTCTTTCATAAGTAAGACTAAGTGAATATTGTTGGCTTAATTTTTACAGAGCTATATCGTCTGAGTTATTGGCAAAATACCCATATATTTAAGCTTCAAGTTGTTATTTCTGTGAACATCTGATATTCACAGGCTATAAAAAAGATTCACAAAGGAATAACTTGAAATGATAAGCTTCATCTGATATCTAAGTTTTCATAAGTAATCTAGGAAAATAGTTAAAAACAAATAAATTAGTTAAACCTAAATGGGATAAACATTTAAAAACAAACATGTCATGCAATTTGAAATCATAAAGTTATGTTAAATTAAATAATTAACACCAATTAAATTCTTGGAGCATTTTCATATAAGACAGAAAAAACATAAACTACTGAACATTAATATAAATCTTGTTCTTGACTTGTTAAATTTTATAGAAAGATTAAGTTTATTTGGGTCTATGAATACATATAAGAATAATTCTGTGATGGGGAAAACTGTTTCTAAAACTTATAAAATAGTTCTCACCTCTATAATAGTGATATGTGACAGAGATTTGAAAATTTATTGCTTCCTAGGTTTTGCTAAAAATTAATATGTGTGTATATAAAGTGTACCAAAAAGCTGAAATGTATTTTTGATGAGAAAAATTAAAAGAAAATCATTTTAAATGTATTCTTCATTTTAAAAATAATTATTTTGTCTAACTCAGAGGTTATTAAAAGGTTGTTTAAAAACATGCATTTAAGAAGGAAATAGAAACAAAATAAAGAGCAAGCAGCAAGTAGGAAAGACAGATGTGAAAAAGGTTTTGAATTTAAAGATTTTTTTGGTAAGAAAGGTTAGAAAAAAGATAATTTTTTCAGAAAAATAATCTTGAGAGGTAAATTTTTGTACTAAACCAAAATGATAGGTAATTAAGGAAAGAGAAAATATAGGACAAAGCAGAAAGTCTAAGTGTGTTGTCAAAGGTCTGCGTAAGTCATGATGAGGTTAGTAAAAGGTAAATTTTAAAAAAAATTGTGTAATCAAGTAGGCTATAGTTAAAAGGTAATTGTTTTTCTAAATTAATCTTTCTAAAGATTAATATTTGATATTAAAATACACTAATATAAAACCAAAAATGGTTTCCTATATAAAATGATAAGGTTTTCTTGAAATATTAAACTGCTCTTAGTAAAGGTACTGGAGGTTTTAATTTTGAATTTCCTTTTTTTTCTGTTTTACAGGATCCTTTTTTTTTCTTTTCAGTGGAACAAAATACTTTCTTTTATTCAAAATGCTAATTTCATTTCTCAAGAAAATGTTTTTTTCTTAACATTTTTCAGATTCATATTTCAAAATTTAGCTACTGGCATAATTTGTTACATGTGATTCACAAGTCATACTTCATTGCCTTCTGCTCTTCTTTCTCCCCTTGAAAAGAGTTTGGATAATAATTCTCTGCATCACCTTTTTAATTAGCTCCTGTAACACTACTCTCCCATTCTAAACTGATTCTTTGAACTGACACTGAAATGTGTATCTTAAAAAATATATATATTGTCCATAGGCTTTTGGGGAACAGGTCATGTTTGGTTACATGAGTAAGTTCCATAGTGGTGATTTGGAGATTTTGGTTCACCCATAACCCGAGGAGTATGCACTGTACCCAATTTGTAGTCTTTTACCCCTCACCTCCCTTACACCCTTTTCTCCAAATCCCCAAAGTTCATTGTATAATTCTTATGCCTTTGCATTCTCATAGCTTAGTTCCCACTTATGAATGAGAACGTATGATGTTTGGTTTTCCATTCCTGAATTACTTCACTTAGAATATGGTCTCCAATTCCACCCAGGTTGCTGTGAATGTCATTACTGTGTTTCTTTTTTTGACATATATATATATATATATACACATATATATGTAACTTTACATATATATATGTAACTTTCACAATTTGTTTATCCATTCGTTGATTGATGGCATTTGGACTGCTTCCATGTTCCATGTTTTTGCAATTGTGAATTGTGCTGCTATAAACGTGTGTGCAAGTATCTTTTTTGTATAATGACTTCCTTCAATCTGGGTCGATACCCAGTAGTGGGTATCTGTATCAAGTAGTAGTTCTACTCTTAGTTCTTTAAGAAATCTCCATGTTGTTTTCCATTGTGGTTGGGCTAGATTACATTGCCACCAGCAGTGTAAAAGTGTCCCCTTTTCACTGCATTGTCACCAACGTCTATTATTTTATGATGTTTTGATTATGGCCATTTTTGTAGGAGTAAGGTGGTGTCACACTGTGGTTTTGATTTGCATTTCCCTAATCATCGTGATGTTAAACATTTTTTCATATGTTTGTTGGCCATTCGTATATCTTCTTTTGAGAATTGTCTATTCATGTGCTTAGCTCATTTTTTGATGGGATTGGTTTTGTTCTTGATAATTCGGTTTAGTTCCTTGAAGAGTCTGGATATTAGTCCTTTGTCAGATGTATAGATTGTGAAGATTTTCTCCCACTCTGAGTTGTCTGTTTACTCTGCTGATTGTTTCTTTTGCTGTGCAGAAAGTTTTAAGTTTAAGTCACACATATTTACCACTCTTTTTGTGTATGAAATTTGTATCACAAAAACCCAAAAGAATAATGTTTTCCTCCAGAATAACTTGATTCTCTATTCTTGACTTTTCTTGAGGCATCAAAAAAGACTTTGATCAAAATGGAGAAATATGAAATTTGTCAAAATAAAAATGGAGTCATTCGTGTTTAACAAAAAAACTCTGATTTCTTTTGTAGTTTAAGGTAAAATTTTGCTGGATATACTATTCTAGGTTGAAACCTTTTTTTTCTTCAGCATTTTGAATATATTATCCTATTCCCTCCTGGACTTTAAATTTTCTGCTGAGATTTCTGCTGCAAGATATATTGGAGCTCCTTTATAGGTTATTTGATTCTTTTCTCTTGATGCTTTTGGGATCATTTGTCTTTAACCTTTGAGAGTTTGATTATTATATGCCTTGAGGTAGGCTCATTTTATGTTAAATTCCTTCTGTGTTCTTTGACATTCAAAATAGCTATTTGGATCTTTCTCTAGGTTTGAAAATTTCTCTATTATTATTTCATTGAAAAAACTTTCTACCCATATGTCTCTAAATGTATTCTTTTTAAGACTAATAACTTTTAGATTTGCCCTTAGAGGCTATTTTCTAGGTCCTGGGTGTGCTTAATTCTTTTCTATAGTTTTTTCTTTTTTGTGTATATTTTCATAAAGCCTGTCTTAAAGCTAACTACTTCTTTATTCGCTTAATCAATACTGTTGTTGAGAGACTCCGATGCGTTTGTCAGTTTGTTAATTAAATTCTTCAGCTCCAAAATTTTAGACTGACTTTTTAAAAAATTTTTCTATAATTCAGAATTCCTCCTCTGTGTTAACTTGAATTTTATAGGGCTTCCTCAAGACAGCTATTTGGAATTTCTTGTTGAAAAAGTCACATGTCTCTATCACTCCAGGATTAGTCATTGATATGGTTTGGCTCTGTGTCCCCACTAAAATCTCACCTGGAAGTGTAATCCCCACATGATGGAGAAGCAGCCTGGTGGGAGGCAATTGGATCACGAGGACAGTTTCTGCCATGCTGTTCTTGTGATAGTGAGTGAGTTGTCATGAGTGCTGATAGTTTTAAAATTTTTTGACAGTTTCCCCTTTGCTTTCTCTCTATACCACCACCTTGTGAAGAAGGTGCTTGCTTATCCTTTACCTTCTGCAATGATTGTAAGTTTCCTGAGGTCTGTTTACCCACATGGAACTCTCAGTCAGTTAAACCTCTTTTCTTTTTAAATGATCCAGTCTCAGGTGGTATCTTTATAGCAGTGCAAAAACAAACTAATACAGAAAATTGGTATCAGCAGAGTTGAATGCTGCTATAAAGATAACCTGAAAATGTGAAAACAACTTTGGGACTCGGTAATGGGCACAGATTGGAACAGTTAGGAGGGCTCAGAAGAAGAAGACAGGGAGATGTGATAAAGTTTGGAACTTTCTAGAGACTTGTTGATTGGTTTTGACCAAAATGTGGCTAATGATTCAGACAATGAAGTCCAGGCTGAGTTGGTCTCTAACAGAGATGAGGAACTTGTTGGGAATGGGAGCAAAGGTAACTCTTGCTATGCTTAAGCAAAGAGGCTGGTGGCATTTCTGTCCTGCCCTAGAAATCTGTGGAATTTTGAACTTGAGAGAGATGATTTAGGGTACCTGGCAGAAGAAATTTCTAATCAGCAAAACATTCAAGAGGCTACCTGGATTTTTTTCAAAGTGTACACTTATATGTAGTTACAAAGAGATGGTGTGAAATTGGAACTTATATTTGAAAGGGAAGCAGAGCATAAAAGTTTGAAAAAATTGTAGCCTGACCATGTGGTAGAAAAGAAAAAAACATTTTCTGGAGAGAAATTCAAGCCAGCTGCAGAAATTTGCATAAGCAATGAGGAGCTGAATGTCCCAATTGCCAAAACAAAGGTGAAAATGTCTATAGGGCATTTCAGAGATCTGTGCAGCAATGCCTCCCATCACAGGCCAGGAGGCCTAGGAGGTAAAAATGGTTTCTTGGGCCAGGCTCAGTGCCCTGCTGATCTGTCAGCCTTGGAACACGGTGTCTTGCATCCTAGCCATTCCAGCTCTAGCTGTGGCTGAAAGGGGACAAAATACAGCTTGGGCCATTGCTTCAGTCGGTGCAAGCCCTAAGCCTTGGTGGCTTCAACATGGTGTTGGGTAAGTAGGTATGCGGAAGGCAATGGTTAAGGTTTAGGAACCTCCACCTAGATTTCACAGAATGTATGGAAACACCTGGATGTACAGGCAGATGTCTGCTGCAGGGGCAGAGGCCTCATGGAGAATCCCTCCTAGGGCAGTGCAGAAGGAAAATGTGTGGTTTGAGCCTCCACACAGAGTCCCCACTGGAGCACTGACTAGTGTAGCTGTGAGAAAAGTGCCACTGTCCTCCAGACCCAATTAACAGTAAACCCACTAACAGCTTGCACTGTGAGCCTGGAAAAGCCACAGGCATGCAACACAAACCCATGAAAATAGCTGCAGGGGCTGCACCCTGCAGAGCCACAGAGTCAGAGCTGCCCAAGTCTGTGGGGCCCACCACTTGTATCAGCATGCCCTGAATGTGAGACATGGAGCCAATGTTGTTTTGGAACTTTAAGATAGAATGAGTGCTCTGCCAGATTTTGGACTTAGATGGGGCCTGTGGCCTCTTTGTTTTGGCCAATTTCTCCCATTTGGAATGGAAACATTTACCCAAATCCTTGTATCTTGGAAGTAACTAACTTGTTTTGTATTTTATGGGCTATAGGCAGAAAGGACTTGCCTTTCTTCAGATGAAAGTTTGGAGTTGGGCTTCTGAGTTAATGCTGGAATGAGTTAAGATTTTGGGAGATTGTTGAGAAGGCATGATTGTTTTTGAAATGTGAGAAGGACTTGAGATTTGGGAGGGGCTGGGGCAGAATGATATGGTTTGGCTCTGTGCTCTCACCCAACTCTCACTGGGAATTGTAATCCCCATGTGTCAAGGGAGGGGCCTGGTGGGAGGCGATTAGATCATGAGAACAGTTTCCCCTGTACTATGACAGTGATAGTTTTATGATAGTGAGTGAGTTTCCATAAGAGCTGATGATGTTAAAGGTGATTGGCAGTTTCCCCTTTACTCTCTCTCTCCTGCTGACTTGTGAAGAAATTCCTAGTTTCTTATTCACCTTCTGCCATGATTACAAGTTTTCTGAGGCCTCCTTAGCCACACAGAACTGTGAGTCAGTTAAACATTTTTTAAAATAAATTACCCAGTCCAAGGTAGTATCTTTATAGCAGTGTGAAAATGGACTAATATAGTCATGGTACTTTATTTAGTCCATCTGGAGAAGTCATGTTTACCTGGATGTTCTTGGTGCTTATGGATGCTCGTGCATATCAGGCCATTGAAGTGTTACGTATTTATTCCAATCTTCCAAGTCTGGGCTTACTTTCATTCATTCTTCTGGAGAGGGCTTTTCACAGATTAAAAGGAGATTGAGTGTTGTGGCCTAAGCCTGCAGTCACTGCAGTTGTTTCAGCACCAGGAAACTAACTGAGCCCCCAAACACTGTAACTCTTCTTGTAGCCTCCTAGATACACGGCCTTGGTGCATATGAGTGAGATAAGGGATAATTCCCTGAGTTGCCTGGCAGTCTCCTGCTCTCCTTTCTCTCTTTCCCCCCAAATAGAAAGAGTCTCTCATTGCACTGGGATCCCTGGAGTTGGGAAAGGTGTGATGTGGCCACTCTCATGGTCACCACAGCTGTTACTACACAGGGATACACCTGAAGTCTTGCAGACTAGCACAGTACTGGGGCTCACCCAAGTGTTGTGGCCAGCACTGACTGGCTGCTGCTAATACTTATTCAAGGCCAAGACCGTGTTAGTCAACAGGTGATGAATTATCCTGTGACTGTGGATTAAGTCTGTGGATTTCCATCTTGGCAAGAGTGAGTCTACAAACACCATCCAGGAGCAAATACCTGGAATCCTGGGCTTCAGGTATTCGCCTGGTGCTTTATTTCACTGTGGCTGCGCTGATATCCAAGTTGCAAGTTGCTGTCCTCTGTACTATTTTCTCTCATTTCTCAAAGCAGAAAGAAACTTTCCCTAAAATGTAAATGCAACCATTAAAAAAAAATAGCCAACGAAATCCTGAACAAAAAGAACAAAGCTGGAAGTTTCACATTACCTGACTTCAAATTATGCTACAAAATCACAGTTAAAAAAAATAAAACTGGCATAAAAACAGACAGATGGAATACTGAAACAGGATAGAGAACCCAGAAATGAATTCATATATTTATTGTCAACTTGTTTTCACAAAGTGTCAAAAACATATATTAAGGAAATAACAAATTTTTCAGTAAATGGTGTTGGGACAGCTGAATATTCATATGCAGAAGAATAAAACTAGATCCCTGTCTTTCACCATATATAACAATAAAATCAGAATGGAATAAATATTTAATTCTAATATTTGAAACTATGAAACTACTAGAAGAAATCATTGGGGAAACACTCAAAGACATTGTTCATGGCAAAGATTTCTTGAGTAGAAGCTCAAAAGCACAGGCAACAAAAGCAAAAATGAACAAATGCAATCTCAACAATAGAAAAACTTCTTCTACAGGAAAGGAAACAATCAACAAACTAAAGATGCAACCCACAAAATGGGAAAAATATTTGAGAACTACCCATCTAACAAGAGATGAATAATGAGAATATATAAAGAACTCAAACAACTCAACAGGGAAAAAACAAATAATCCAATTAAAAATGAGCAAACAATCTGAATAGGCATTTTTTCAAAAGAACACATACACATGGCCAATATATATATAATAACTAATAATATATATAAAAACATCACTATATAATAACATCACTAATCATTATAGAAATGCAAATTAAAATTACAATGAGGTTGGGCACAGTGGCTAATCTCTGTAATCCCAGTACTCTTAGAGGCTGAGTTGGGAGGATCGTTTGAGACCAAGAGTTTGAGACTAGCCAGGACAACATAGCAAGACCCTGTTTCAAAAAAAAAAATTAAAAAATTAGTCAGGGGTGGTGGTGCATGCCTATATTCCTAGCAACTTGGGAGGGTGAGGCAGGAGATTCATTTAAGCCCAAAAGTTTGAGGTTGCAGGGAACCATAATCACAATACTGCACTCCAGCTTAGGTAACAGAGAAAAAACCTGTGTCAAGAACAACGACAAAATTGACAGTAATGAAATATCATCTCATACCCGTTTTAATGGGTTTTATCCAAAAGATAGGCAATAAAAATGCTGATAAGCATGTAAAAAAAGGAAAACAATTGTGCATTTTTGGTGAGAATGTAAATTAGTACAGCCACTATGTAGAACAACATGGAGGTCCCTCAAAAATCTAAAAATAGGACTAACATATGATCCAACAATCTCACTACTGGGTCTATATCCAAAAGAAAAGAAAATATATCAAAGAGATTATCTGCACTCCCATGTTTAGCTCAGCATGGCTGTTCACAACAGCCAAGGTACAAATCCAAACTTAGTGTCCAGTAATGGATGAATGCGTAAAGAAAATCTGGTACACACACATAACAGAATATTATTCAGGCATCAGAAAGAAGGAAATTCTGTCATTTGCAACAACCTGGATACAAATAGAGGACATTACATTAAGTGAAATAAGCTAGGCACAGAAAGGCAAATATCATATGTTCTCACTAATATATGGAAGCTGAAAAAAATGAAACCCATGGAAATGGAAAGCAGAATAATCCAATCATTACCAGAGGCTCAAAGATAGCAGGGGGAGGGGGAGAAAAAAGGTATAGTTAATGGGTACAAAAATACAGTTAGATAGAAGGAATAAAATCTAGTGATTGGTAGCATAATAGGGCGACTGCAGTTAACAATAATTAATTCTATATTTTAAGATAGCTAAAAGAACTGTTTCTAACATAAACAAAAGATAACTGCTTCAGGTGATGGATGCCCCAATTACCCTGATTTGATTATTAAACATTCTATGCTTGTATCAAAATATCACACATATGCCATTAATATGTGCAATTATTACACAGACATAAAAGTAAAAAAAAAAGAGCCATGAAAGGTCATGAAGGGAGAGTTCTCATGCATAAATGCCTGATAACAAAAATTATCACAAAACATCATGCAAAACCCACAACCTTACACAAAGGCCATTGCAACCTTACACAAAAAGTATTTCTAAGAGGACATTTGCTCAGCCACTACTTGTCTAACCCTGGATTGCCACATTCTTGTTATTAATCCTTATAGCCAAGGATAATTACCTCAAAACAATTATGTAATTCTGTTCATTTTTCCTTTAAAAACCTTTGTTTTCCTTTACCTTCCTGAATATACATATAATTTACTCTGGTAGGTATATTTCCACTGCATGCTCTCATTTTCTTTTATAGGGTATCTCTCTGTTTGTTATTTAGTTTAACACTATGCTTTGGCGTCCCATGATGAAAGTTTAGGAAAATGTCATATATGGAGTTGTTTTTCAATTATTTAGGGGAAATACCCTGCCTTAATCAGACCGTAGCATAATTATTGAATTCTGATAGCTCTCTCAAATAAATTAGCTTAACATAATCTAGTGCTTATGCATAGCCTGTGTATGATCAGGATGTGGCTAAATAATTAAGAAACATATTAGCATGTTAAACATTTTGACTTAAATCATATAAGTTGTCAGTGGCAGAAATGTGGTCAGGGTATAAGGTGTTTATATTGCTATTTGACGATTTTAAACAATTTCTAATATACCAGTCTACAGAATTTTACATTAATAATCTTATTTGTCACAATAATTTTATAATACAGTTATAGATTGGGAAGTTAAAGCTTTGGCAACTTCAGTGGTTTTTCAAATATTTCTCTACTAATTACTGAATAAGGACAGATTTGAAACCAAGCAATAATATAGCATTTCACTATTATTTTGGGCCAATCCATTTCATCCATCAGCTTTGGTAAATTCTTTGTAAATTCTTTATGTCTGTCAATTTGTTAAAGGTGACTATGTACTATTTTAACACTTGTGGTAAAGTTTCTACATAAACCTTAGTTATTTCAAGGCACTATAATTTAAAATAAATAAAACCATGTATAAGAAGGGTTAATGCAGAGCTTTACTTTCTGAAATTTACTTGTAATAGACCTAAGATCATTTAATTTTGAGAATCAACTGGAAGCAGCTCCAGAAATGTCACCAGAAAAAATACCTGTTTTTTTAATTAAAACCTTAATCTTGTTGCTATTCATGTGACTAACATAATAAAATGACATTTTCAGGAGTATCAATTTGATTCTGTATGAACAACTGCTTTACACAGAGAGAGAGTAACACTTTTAGATAATGAGGTAATGGTTTAAACTCCTTTGGCCTTTTGTGAACTGACACCCCACACCTCCTACCCAAACTTGCCCTGAGATGTATCTCATTCTTATAAGTCAGAAAGAGCATTAAAATGCAGTAAGAGTTGCAAAAGAAAGTGTGTAATAGAAAATAAACTAATGTATAACTAGGCAGTTTTTTAAAAATTTTAAGTGGGAAACAGCAAAGGAGAGATATGGCTTCACTCTTAAATGAAGTCAAGCTGTTCAAGAAACACATATTTGCAAACAAGACTGTTAAGGGAGATGGTGTTATATGACACAAACTCTGCCAGCACACACTGTGCTCACAAGCTCCTTTTTATAATCCATTTATTGATAGGCTAATTAACACTATTTACAAGGCAATTTCTTTAAGTAAATTCATGCACTGCATAACAATGTTTCAGTCAACAACCTTGGTCCCATAAGATTATAATGGAGCTAAAGAATTCCTGTTACCTAGTGATCCTATCTGTAGCAGTGGCAATGTAGCACAAGGCATTAATCATGTGTTTGCAATGATGATATAAACAAACCTACTGTGCTATCAGTTGTATAAAAGTATAAGAAATACAATTATGTACAGTACAAGATAGTTGATAATGATAATAAATGACTATATTACTGGTTTATTTATTTACTATACTATCCTTTCTGTCATTATTTTAGAGTGTACTCCTAGCAATAAAGAAAAGCTGACTGTCAGGCAGGTCCCTCAGGAAGTATTCCAGAAGAAGGTGTTGTTATCACTGGAGATGACAGCTCCATGCATGTTACTGTCCCTGAAGACCTTCCTGTGGGCCAAAAATGTGGAAGTTGAAGACAGTGATATTGATGATTCAAACCCTGTGAAGGCTTACGGTAATGTGTGTGCATGTCTGTGTTTTAACTTTTCACAAAAAAGTTTAAATGTCCAAAATTTAAACATAGAAAAAAGTTTAAAGAGTAAGGATACTAAAACGTATATTTGTACAGATGTACAGTGTGTTGTATTTTAAGCTATGTTTCTTGAACAGCTTGACTTCATTTAAGAGTGAAGCCATATTTCTCTTTTGCTGTTTCCCACTTAAAACTTTTTAAGAACTGCCTAGTTATACATTAGTTTATTTTCTATTACACACTTTCTTTTCTAACTCTTACTGCATTCTAATGCTGTTTCTGACTTATAAAAATGAGATACATCTCAGGGCAAGTTTGGGTTGGAGGTGTGGGGTGTCAGTTCACAAAAGTTATAAGAGTCAAAATGTTAAAAAAAATGAAAAAGTTTATACAGTAAAAAAGTTACAGTAAGCTACGGATAATGTATTTTTTGGGGAAAGAAAAAAATTAAAATAAATTTAATATAGCCTAGAATACAGTGTTTACAAAGTCTACAGTAAAGTACAGTATTGTCTTAGGCCTTCACATTCATTCACCACTCACTCACTGACTTATCCAGATCAACTTCCAGTCCTGCAAGCTGGAAGCTCCATTTATAGTCAATGTCCAATACAGGTATATCATTCTTACGTTTTTCTTTCATGAAGTAAAGAGCTAAGCCAGGCATTACTTAGATTTATTATCTTCTCTGTATCCATAAAATGAAGGAACTAAATAAAATAATAGTCAATTACTTTATCGTGTATTTAAAATGTACCAAGTTACAAGCATCTAGTCCTCTCACTTAATCCTCACAAAATCCACTGTATATATTATAATTCCTCTTTTACACATGTGGAAATTGAGGTTCAGAGAAGCCAAATAACTTGCTCAAGGACTTACACCCAGTGGCAAAACTGTAGCTGGAAACCAGGAAGATCGACGCCAAAGAGCAAACTCTCAACCACTCTGAGATTTCTAAGATCCCTTCCAGCCAAGCAATCCTGTTCTCTTGGTCATGGCTCTTCACGAAGAGATTGGACCTGGTGGCTGGAAAACATGATGGGAGTTTTCCAATTGAGTGGAAGAACCCCTGGAGTTTTAGAACAAAACCAAGTAGTTGTTACATGTCTACACTTTGCTTTCACTGCAGGTTCCCGATTCTTTATGGTTGGAGACAGAAGCTCCCGGGACACTGCAGCCCTGCCTGCATCTTCATGGAGTGGAGAAAACCCAACTACTGAGTTTCCGCACAGAGAAGACTGGCTCCTGCCTCTCCTTAATTTTGTCAACTGCATTTCTTTATTTCTTTTTTTTTTTTAAATTATACTTTAAGTTCTGGGATATATGTGCAGAACGTGCAGGTTTGTTACGTAGGCATACACGTGCCGTGGTGGATTACTGCACCCATCAACCCGCCATCTCCATTAGGTATTTCTCCTAATGCTATCCCTCCCTTCCCTTGTCCCCCCACCACCTGACAGGCCCCAGTGTGTCATGTTCCCCTCTCTGTGTCCATGTGTTCTCATTGTTCAACTCCCACTTATGAGTGAGAACACGTGGTTTTTGGTTTTCTGTTCCTGTGTTAGTTTGCTGAGAATGATGGTTTCCAGCTTCATCCACGTCCCTTCAAAGGACATAAACTCATCCTTTTATGGCTGTATAGTATTCCACATGTACATGTGCCACATTTTCTTTATCCAGTCTATCATTGATGGGCATTTGGGTTGGTTCCAAGTCTTTGCTATTGTGAATAGTGCTGCATTAAACATATGTGTGCATGTATCTTTATAGTAGAATGATTTATAATGCTTTGGGTATATACCCAGTAGTGGGATTGCTGGGTCAAATGGTATTTCTAGTTCTAGATCCTTGAGGAATCGCCCCACTGTCTTCCACAATGGTTGAACTAATTTACACTCCCACCAACAGTGGCAAAGTGTTCCTATTTCTCCATATCCTCTCTAGCATCAGTTATTTCCTGACTTTTTAATGACTGTCATTCTCACTGGCGTGAGATGGTATCTCTTTGTGGTTTTGATCTGCATTTCTCTAATGACCAGTGATGATGAGCTTTTTTTCATATGTTTGTTGGCCACATAAACATCTTCTTTTGAGAAGTGTCTGTTCATATCCTTTGCCCATTTTTTGATGGGGTTATTTGTTTTTTTCTTGTAAATTTGTTTAAGGTTCTTTGTAGATTCTGGATATTAGTCCTTTGTCAGATAGATAGATTGCAAAAATTTCTCTCATTCTGTAGGTTTCCCATTCACTCTGATAACAGTTTCTTTTTCTGTGCAGAAGTTCTTTAGTTTAATGAGATCCCATTTGTCAATTTTGGCTAAAGAAAACCTAGGCAATACCATTCAGGACATAGGCATGGGCAAAGACTTCATGACTAAAACACCAAAAGCAATGGCATCATTTTTATGTTTTATACTGTCTTCTTACTGTACTCTTTCTCCATTTAGAAATGTTCAGCTACACATATGCTTACCTTTATGTTACAATTGCCTACAGTATTCAGGACAGTGACATGCTGTACTGGTTTGCAGTCTAGGAGCAATAGGTTATACCATATAACATAGGAATGTAGTGGGCTATAGCATCTAGCTTTGTGTAAGTACACTCTGTGATGTTTGCCCGACGAAATTGCCTAATTATGCATTTATGGAACATATACTTGTAGTTAAGCATCACTTGACTGCACTTTTAATATTCTTCATACGGCCTTTTATTTATTCTGTTTGGAAATCATAAACCTACATTTTTGTCATGTCATTTATTCCAACAAATCTTTTCTTCAATTAATGCAAATCAGTGGAGTACATTTTCTAAGTTATCCATTACATGTCATTTCTTTACACAAACACACACACACATACACACAAACATACACACATATAATGTTCTAGCCAGTTACTTTAACCTTCTGGCAACCAAAAAGTGATGATTTTTAATGTCATTTTTTATTTCGTAGAGAGAAATAATGTACATTATACAAGTTAATACACTTCCCATAATAATTTAGAAGAAACAAATCAACCTCTATTAGTAAACAGACACAAAACTCTCTTATTTATATTTAATTGTCCTAAGTACTTATAAGTATTAAAGACTTGAATATCAGGTACAACACCTAGTTTGGAGAATCAAATTTTATATATTTCTGAAGTTAAGACATTGTTTTCACTGTGATACAATGGTCACAATAAATTTCTAACCTTAACACTAAATACTTACAGTGCTTTTCCTACAGACATCTCGTGAAATTGTAAAATTTTCTTTATGAATAGTTGATAGTTCTGAGTAATATTATAGGTGTGTCTTTCCTAAAATAATCCAATCTATAAATACATTGCAAAAGGTGGGGGGTGTGTTTAGTCTAGATTGTTAGGATATTGCTGGGATCAGCTTATAACACCAGATATACAGTAGACATTAAAGAAATATTGATGACCACATGAAGAAAAGGAGTGAGGAGAAGGGAGAAGCTAAATACAGAGAGCTATAATACTTATCCTACAGATGATAACATTTGCATGAATGGTTTAATTAAGAACTGTTGGAAGGAATGCCCAAGTTTATATTTAGATCCCTGTGCATCACCTAGAAAAATAAATGAAATTTAACTGCATTTCATTTTCATGAGCCAATCTTACATTTATCCTGGTTATAAAAAGAAATGCTACAAATTTGTATACTATACAGTCTGCTGATTTACGTAGAAGGAATACAAATTTAAATGTATATTAAGAGTCTTTGTTCTTTATATAAAATCTGGATAAATTGCCTGAAAGGACAATTAAAAAAAAACAATATTGGCCATTATTTGACTGAATAATATCCAGGGCTCTTGAGCACACAAAAGAGTCAACTTTTTGTGGCATTGTGATATATAAAATAAAAAATTTTCAAGGTAGAAAATTAGTTCTGCAGTCCTAGATTTGCCTGTTTATAGCTATGCATGTACCTAGGCATGTATAAGTTCTGCGGCACATATTATTTAGTTAAAATTGCTGAAATTGTTTTTATATTTAAAATTATACTATGGTAGAATTTGTAAAGTTAACTTTTTTCCTCATTCCTGCAAATAGATGATTGTGTTAATCTATATTACAGATTTGATTATTTGCCTAAAAGCTAGTTATGTTCATCTGAATAACTAAATTGTTTTGTGCATGTAATCATAGTCTCTGGGATGAATTATCTAAAAAAAATTACCAAGTTAGGTCTTTTACAATATTGTTTTTCACAAATGATAAATACCTGTAGAATTCCCTTTGAATAAACAAAAGTACTTGTAAATAGGGTGAAAATATGATCTGAAATCCTTGAATAAATGCCTGGCAACTATTAAATTGGTTCATTTAAAGAAATAATAATCCCATTGGTAGCTTACAAAAAAGAAAAATCACAGTGGCTGTTTTAAGAGTTAGACTACTTAAATTACAATTAACCCTGAATAAATAATTTTTAAATCCGTTTACCTCAAGGCCACTGATTCCTCCTATACTTCATACCCACATTTGTAGCTATATAGAAGTCATTTTTATCCAAATACATTTCAAAGAAACATTTGGTAAAGAAAATGTCATCTTTGGCAGTAAATATCACATTTTAAAAATGTAAATGCAAAACATTCTTTCAAATAAATGCACCACATTTCTTTTCAATTCATATTATCTATACAGAAGACAACACTCATTGGCTTTTCTTATTTACAGCAAGCTACTATTCATCAATCCAATAATAGGAAGCTTCTTCCTATATATATGTAATGTTTAATATTAATAGTGTAGCTCAGAGTTATACACCTACTTACTACATTCCTTGGATAATGTAAAATAAAATGTATGTATCTATGAATATTAGCTTTGTGTAGATATCTTTATTATATTAAGCAAGACATTTATTTCTAAAAGTAATTAAATACAGTGTTTCCAAGTTGACTCTTCCCAAAATTCAGTGATGTAAGAGTGGGAGTGTTATTTCGACCAGGTGATTGGGAGATTGCCTATGTCTTCAGTAGTACCTAAGATTAAATGGAAGTTTCTTTAAAAATTATAATAAACATATAAAATGGTTGCTACTGAAATCCAAGTTTTAAGAAGAAAGTGAGCTTTTATCTTTGTAGATTTTTAAATGACACACATTTTTTTGTGTGTGGTAGATAAAGAAATGTCCAGTGATGAGAATAAACTAGAAACACATCACAGGATAGCAGATGAGCTTTAAGATATACTCCTAGACTGTATCCACGGACTACTTCTTGTGAGTCTGCAATGAGATAAGGAGCTTGTGAGAAGGTTAGTGAACTATCCTGTGTTGTAAAGTATGCTGCATATATAAAAAGTTCAGAAGACCGAATACAGTATCACAGGGTTGACAAGTATAAAATTGCCAACAGGGTTTACACTCCGTCTCAAGGCTCTGGGAAGAATTCATGCCTTGCCTCTCCTGGCTTCTGCTGGCTGCCAGCATCTTGTTTTGTTACTGCAAAATTCCAACATCTGTTTTACTGATCACATTGTCTTCTATTGTTATCTGTGAAATCTTTCTCTGCCTTGTAAAGACACTTGTAGTTGTATTTTGGGCCCACTGTATAATCTAGTATAATATCCCTATACCAAGATCGTTGATGTAACATCTATAAAGTCTTTTCCACGTAACATTCATAGGTTTCAAGAATTAGGATGTGGATGTCTTTACAGGGCCATCACTCAGCCTATTACAACATTAAACAAATTAATTAAACATTTACTAGCAAACAAGAACTAAAAAATAAATAATACATTTACTATTCATTAACTTAAAACAAGTTGAAGAATTTGATAGTGAGACAAAGTACATTTTCCTTCTTTAGTGTACTTTTTGACCCCTAATAATACATCATTTGTTACAAATTATCTCTTTTCTTAATGAATTTTAATATAAAAAAGTTCTCATTGTTAATTTAAAATTTTAATTGTTAAGGGCATTATAAATTTTTTTACATTTTCTATTGCTAAATGATAGAAAACATTGATATGAAACATTTTTCCACTTATGTAATAATGCATAATCTTTAATTTTATATGTATATGTACCATATTAAATGCACAATAATTTATAAGCCATCCTGAAATGTTCAGAAAACATCAGGCAATCGAAAAATAAATTACTGTCTTTATTTTATAATGGCTGAACAACTCAATCTTGCTTATATTTAATAGCAGTTAAATACCCAAAGACACTTTTCATTATTTTTTCTTTCTTTCTTTCTTTCTTTCTTTCTTTCTTTCTTTCTTTCTTTCTTTCTTTTTTTTTTTTTTTTTTTTGACAGAGTCTTGCACTGTCACCCAGGCTGGAGTGCAGTGGCACGATCTCGGCTCACTGCAAGCTACCCCTCCCGGGTTCACGCCATTCTCCTGCCTCAGCCTCCTGAGTAGCTGGGACTACAGGCGCCGGCCACCAAGCCCGGCTATTTTTTTTTTTTTTTTTTTTTTTGTATTTTTAGTAGAGACATCGTTTCACCATGTTAGCCAAAATGGTCTGGATCTCCTGACCTCGTGATCCGCCCACCTCGGCCTCCCAAAGTGTTGGGATTACAGGCGTGAGCCACCGCGCCTGGCTAATTTTTCATCTTACAGAGTTGTGTTATTTTAATGTTCTTTCTCAAGTTAGATAGATTTTGACAAAGATACACTTTTGGATCAAACCTTAGACAGTCTCCTCTGAGTTTCACTATGGGCCCCATCTTTGGATGTGTCCTCCAAGAGCCTAGTTTTAGCAAGAATCCTGTAAAGTTGGTTTAGCCAGCATCCCTGGCGCTTACTATCTGAACATGCTGGTTGGCTTTCAGCAAGAATCCTACTAAGTGACGTCAAAGTTCTGCCTTCCTTCTGACGTTTCCAACTAGTAATTTTTCATTCACTTCCCTTGGCCAGCTTCTTGGCTATAAACTCACACCTTTTGTTTTTGTGTTTGGAATTGACCCGATTTCTCTTACCCACTGCAAAACTTCATTGCAGTAGTCCCTATACTTATTCTGATAGTCCAGAATAAAGTCTGCATTGCTATTTTAACAAGTATCCTGAATAATTTTTCTTTAAACAGTTTGAATTGCATTCTGTAGCAGCAAATACATATGTATTACACATTTTTGTTCTTCTTAAAAATGTAAAGGCAAAGCTAAAAAGCCACCAGGGACCACATGAAATCAAGGACCAAAGAATTAGAGTGTATGGATACATGCACACAATTTTATCTCTTGGCCACCCGTCACAGTTTTATGTGCCTCTTAGAGTTAAATTCTTAAATTATTTAAATTAAACTTATGCCAACGAGCTGCTCTTTCAGGATTTGGCTCTCCTTTTCTCTTGATTCCTACAGAGCTGTGCATTCTGCAGATAGATTACTGAAATATGCATTGTCACTTTTTTTCCCTCTTGATAAATGGTACCTTTTCTTTGTTAATTGTTCTGCATTTATACACAGGAATATTTATTTTTATAAAAGTTTTTATTTATAATTTGAAGAGATCATGCTTCATAACTTCACCTGGCTATAATTGCTATACAAGATGGACATATCCGATGTAAGGCAGGGGTCTCCAAGCCCTGGGCCGTGGAGTGATACCAGTCCCTGGCCTGTTAGGCGCTGGGCCGCACAGCAGGAGGCAAGCGGCGGGTGAGTGGAGTGAAGCTTCGTCTGTATTTACAGCTGCTCCCTATCGCTCACATTACTGCCTGAGCTTCGCCTACTGTTAAATCAGCAGTGGCATTAGATTTTCATAGGAACTAGAACCCGATTGTGAACTGCGCATGTGTGCGATCTAGGTTGTTTGCTACTTATGAGAATCTAATGATGCCTGATGATTTGAGTTGGTACTGACGTGGTGATGCTAGCGCTGGGAAGCAGCTGCAAATACAGATTAACATTAGCAGAGAGGTTTAACTGCACAGAGACCATAATAAATCAATTGCTTGCAGACTCATATCAAAACCCTATCAGTGAGTGGCAAGTGACAAGCTGCAGCTGGTGGCATAATTTACGTAAGAACCCAACACTTATTTTAGTCAGTGTGCGGCCTGCCCATTATTTTATCTACCACTTCCACCTGTGCCACTTTCCTGCGCTGTGGACTTGTCTTAGTCACGGTTTTTTTAAGCTCACAAGCTAACCCTAGCCAAGAAGGAATAAAAAACAAACATCACTGGGGAGCTTATTTGAAAAAGGGGGAAGACCCAGTGATGCAACAGCAGAAGACTCTAAGATGGCCACGAAAAACAAAGCTGTATTTAGAAGAATATACCTACCAAGTCCTACTTAAATTATGGGTTCATTGCAACAGGTGATTTACATCCTTCAAGCACACTTTTTATGCTATGTGGTGACTGGCTATCCAATGAAGTCACGAAACCTTCAAAACTGTTTTGCCACATGGAGACCAAGCGCCCTGTGTCAAAAGACAAGCCTTTGAAATTTTTTCAAAGAATAAAACATAGCCACGAAGAACAGAGGCAGTTATTAAAGGCCACCACTTCATCAAATGTGTCTGTACTGACAGCAAAAATTCTTAGTGGCTACCTGCATTGCTAAATCTAAGAAGCCCTTTACTATTGGTGAAGAGTTGATCTTGTCTGCTACTAAGAACATTTGCCTTGAACATTTAGGAGAGACTGTAGTTCAAAAGGTGGCATGTGTTCCTCTATCAGCTAGCACCATAATTAGATGAACTGATGAAATAGCAGAGGATATTGAGGTACAGTTGTTAGAGAGGATTAATGAGTCACCATGGCATGCAATCCAGGTCAACAAGTCTACCGATATTGACAGCAAGGCAACAATGCTTGTTTTCACATGATATATTTTACAGCAGGATGTGCATGAGGATATGTTATGTGCACTTTTGTTGCCAACCAACATCACAGATGCAGAACTGAGTCTTTGAATGATTACATATCAGGAAAACTGAACTGGTAATTTTGTGATAGTATATGCACAGAGTGGCTGCCATGATGAGCAACAACTGTGTTCAAGTTGGCAGGTAAAGTGGCTGCTTTTAAAGCTAAGCTGGTATTATGGGGGTAACAAGAGAACACTGAGATTTCTGACATGTTTCAAACATTAGCAGAGATTTTGAAAGAGACTGAGCCAGGGCTTCTTTTAGCAGAGACTTCTTTTTTTTTTTTTTTGAGAGGGAGTCTTGCTCTACAAGCTCCGCCTCCAAGGTTCACGCCATGCTCCTGCCTCAGCCTTCTGAGCAGCTGGGACTACAGGCTCCCGCCACCATGCCTGGCTAACTTTTTATATTTTTAGTAGAGATTGGGTTTCACCGTGTTAGCCAGGATGGCTACGATCTCCTGACCTCGTGATCCGCCTGCCTCAGCCTCCCAAACTGCTGGGATTGCAGGCATGAGCCACTGAGCCCGGCCTAGCAGAGATCTTGAAAGAGACTGAGCCAGGGCCTTCTTTCTCCCAGTTGGTGCATGATCACCTATCTCAGCTTTCAAAAGAGTTTTAGCATTACTTCCCAACCACAAAAGACTCTCAAACTGGGAAGAAGTGGATCTGCTACTTATTTGTAAATAAGCCAAGTGAATCAATTTTGTCTCTACTAGAAGAGGATCAACTGCTTCAGGTCACAAATGACAGTGGCCTTAAAAGTATGTTTGAGACAACTTCAAATCTCCATATGTTCTGGATTAAAGGCAGAATATCCTGAGATTGCCACAAAAGCACTGAAAAACCTGCTTCCATTACCAACATCCAATCTTTGTGAAGCAGGGTTTTCTTCAGTGAAAGCAACTAAAACGAGATTACAGCATAGGAGGGACAAAAGCAACACACTTTGGGTGTCACTGTGTCCCATCACCCCCATCTAGTTATAGAAAAACAAGTTCAGGGCTCCCACTGATTCTACATTATGGTAAGTTTTATAACTATTTCATTATATATTGCAGTGTAATAATAATAGAAATAAAGTGCACAATAAATGTAATGCATTTGAATCATCCCAACACCATCCCTTGACATGGCTCATGAAAAAAATTGTCTTATCTGAAACAAGTCACTGGTGCCAAAATGGTTGAGGACCACTGATGTAAGGTGTTTCTTTTTTTCTTTTTTTCTTTTTTTTTGAGATGGAGTCTTGCTCTGTTGCCCAGGCTAGAGTGCAGTGGCGCAATCTCAGCTCACGGCAACCTCCACCTCCCGGGTTTAAGCAATTATCTGCCTCAGTCTCCCAAGTAGCTGGGATTACGGGCATGTGCCACCATGCCCAGCTACTTTTTGTATTTTTAGTAGAGACAGGGTGACCTCATCTTGGGCAGGCTAGTCTTGAACTCCTGACCTCGTGATCTACCTGCCTTGGCCTCCCAAAGTGTTGGGATTACAGGCCTGAGCCATTGCGCCCGGTCGGGTGTTTCTTTCTGTTTGCTTATTATTTATTTATTTATTTATTTATTTATTTATTTATTTATTTTAAGATGGAGTCTTGCTCTGTCCTCAGGCTAGAGTGCAGTGGCGTGATCTTGGCTCACTGCAACCTCTGCCTGCAACCTCTGCCTCTGGTGTTCAAGCGATTGTCCTGCCTCATCTTCCCGAGTAGCTGGGACTACAGGTGCCCAACACCACACCCAGCTAATTTTTGTATTTTTAGTAGAGACGGGGTTTCACCATTTTGGCCAGGATGGTCTCAATCTCTTGACCTTGTGATTTGCCTACCTTGGCCTCTCAAAGTGCTGGGATTACAGATGTGAGCCACCGCGCCCAGAACAGGTTGGGTGTTTCTTATAAATGCTATGATCCTGACCATTTAAAATCAATTTTTCTTTGATTTTTATTTTCAATTAATTGGATCATAGCTTAGATTACGTGACCTCTCTAAGTATTAGTCCACCCTAAAACTGTCTTCTTTGGATCACTCAAACAGTTCAGACAAATTTTTAAACACTACAAAGAAAGACTCCCATATAAGGAAAATGTGTACTCTTACTTATAGTAAAATCAGTTGGTAAGTTAACCCAACCTATGAACTCCTTTATTAAACAGCATTCCTCAATTTAAGGGATTGACCCTGATAACTGTGTCTGTACAACCTCAGCACATAGGCAATATTGGTGGGGGCAAAGTGTTTATACTTGATTCAAGCTGAATCAAGCAAATTCTCATTTAAGAAATTTTAAATTTAAGGATAAAGACACTACTTTCTCTCTGTAGGTCTCATTTAAAATTAGGTGTTTTGACTGGTCATCTTCTACCAGATGTTCAGAGACACAGAGAAATCTGTTAAAACAGAAAACAATAAGCAGAAAACATGCAGCCCTACCAATACAAAGTGACAATTTTTCACCTTTTTTTTATTTTTTATTTCTTTGAGATGGAGTCTCACTCTGTTGTCCAGGCTGGAGTGCAGTGGAGCATTATCCGCTCACTGCAACCTCTGCCTCTTGGGTTCAAGCAATTCTGCTGCCTCAGCCTCCCTAGTAGCTGGGATTACAGGCATGCACTACCACACCAGGCTAATTTTTGTGTTTTTTGTAGAGATGGGGATTTGCCACACTGGCCAGGTTGGTCTCAAATTCCTGACCTCAAGTGATCCACCCGCCTTGGCCTCTCAAAGCGCTGGGATTACAGGTGTGAGCCACCACTCTCGGCCATTTTTCACATTCTTTCAGTTTCTTATTTCTTTTTATTTTCTTTTTTATTTTTTAATTTTAGTGATGGGGTCTTGCTCTGTCACCCAGGCTGGAGTGCAGTGGCATGATGATAGCTCACTGCAACCTTGAACTCTTGTGCTCAAATGACCCTCCCACCTCAGCCTCCTGAGGAGCTGGAACTACAAGCACATGCCATAATGCCCTGCTAATTTTATTTTATTTTTTTGTAGAGTTAGGGTTCATTTAGTTGCCCAGACTGGTCTGGAACTCCTGGCTTCAAGCAGTCCTTCTGCCTGGGCCTCCCAGATGCTGGAATTACAGGTGTGAGCCATTGTGTGAGGCCTCGCTCTTTGAGTTTCTAATTTTAACCCATCATAAAGGATTATTGTATTGGTCTGTTCTCACACTGCTATAAAGATAATACCTGAGACTGGGTAATTTATGAACAAAAGAGGTTTCATGGACTGACAGTCTGCATGGCTGGGTAGGCTTCAGGAAACTTACAATCATGGCAGAAGGTGAAGGGGAAGAAGGGCATGTCTTACATGGTAGCAGGAGAGACAGAGAGCCCAGGGAAAAATGTGAAACACTTATCAAACAACCACGAGAACAGCATGGGGGAAACTGCCCTCATGATCCAATCACCTCCCACCAGGTCCCTCCCTCAACATACGGGGATTACAATTGGAGATGAGATTTGGGTGGGAACACAGAGCCAAACCGTATCAACAACTGTGCTCACTTGAACCTGTGTTTCATCAGTTATTATATCTTGAAGCCAGATACATCTTTACTTAAATACCTTCTCACATGTTTGGCATATAATGAAAGACAAATATACTCACCTTCAAAAAATAGCTCCCTTTTAGAATATTAAAATCGATAGACCAAGGACCTGACTCAATAGAGCAAGTATGATCCTAAATTGAAGATATAAGATTTTAATTTTGAGATTCTATTTATTAGATATTTTTGATTTGTTATTGTTTTAGCTAAGTTCTACAACAGTTATTTCCTCTTGGTATTTTTTCAAATTATTGAAAATATCTTTTTTTAAAAAAATTCAAGAATGTCTGTTTAAAGATTTTTCTATTTGTTGAACTATAATCTATAGTTACTATTTACTGAGAGCCTAAAATATGCCAAGCCCTCTTTTTCATATATATTTTCTAATTTAATTTCCACAATATCCTATCCAGAAATGTATATATCTGCAAATATAGTGCAAGTTCAACTTGAAATTCAAACATCTGAAGTGTCCTGTCATAATGTCCTATCGTAGCTAATGTCTCAGAGTTCACTTCCATAAAGGATGATATCTCTAATTTTTGCATCATTTCATCAAAATTCACTCATAGGCAATGTAAATCTTCTGCTCTTTTATTTTAAGGCACCATAGCTAGCACTTGCTTCAGTCTGCATGTTTCCTTTGGCTAGATTCTCTCCTCTTTAGAAGCAATTCAGTAAACAAGGAGAGAAAACTATAATTCCTAGATCAAATTTAGAGTAAAGAAAAAAGCCAAAGAAATCAATTTTCTAATCCCAGATTCAGGTTATGGATTTATCTTATAACAGGTTAACAGGCTAGCCTGGTCATAGTTTTCATTTTGGAGAATATTCCTATATAAACGGACACAGAGGCAAACCTGGGATAAGTTTCCCAATGTGAGACAGAGGACATTTCCAACAGGTTGTACCCAGAGATAGGCACATGGCACACATCATCACCTTATATTTTACTTTCTATAGACAATTTGATTATACTACTTTGGTAAAGAAATACTTGTCATCAACTTCACCAAATCCCGTTCAAGATTGTTGGGGATTTATGCTAATATGACTATAATTTACATATTTGAAATGTATCATTTTTGTAGTCTTTTTCCCTAAATTTTGAAATTAAATCTGTACTTCCATAGATCCTGACAGTTTAAGTATTTTAAAGACTATCTAATGTTAATGTGCTTTTGCTTTTTAATGTGGATAGAAGACAATAATCTGTTTTAAATATGCAGTATATGCATGTTAAGTAAGGTTGTATGTCTTTTCTCCTATTAATCTTCTTTTTGAAAGTTGATTTTTCAGCGAAACTTCAAAGGGCCAAGGGGAACACTAAATGCTAGCCTTGTTTAGAAACACTATGATGCTATTCAATTTCTCTGTTTTTGCCTGTGTAAACAACCTTCTGATTTTGCCGCTTTGTAACACTGACCAAAGGAATGGCCTTGAAATCTGTGCTTCCTATACAGCCATCCTCAAACTTAGTTTTGTTTGAATAGATTCCATTTTAAATTGGAAAAATTAGACTTAAAAAAACCATAAAAATGCAGTATATTGCTGAAGTCTTTTCCAGCAATGTATTCGGTAACAGTAGGTGTATGTGCATGTGTGTATTACATGTGCATGTGTGTGTATTACACATGTACACATACATAAATGCACATAGAGATGAATGTATGTGCATGTATATAATTTTCTAAGTACTAAAGTAAATTCAAAAATAATCCTAAACATCAATACTTTACAAACGTAGTAAAATGTACCTATGTTATGCAATTTTGCTTGTTTGTTGGTTTAGTTTTTTTTTTAATTTTCCTCTTCATGCGTTTGATGAATAGTAAAAGAATCGCTGCTTTTCATATCTGTGTGAAGATGAAAAATTAAGCTTTTAAAGGAAACACAACCCCAGGAAAATGTGATTTTGAATGGTTCATTAAAGACAGAAAAAGCAAAAGGTATTTGCCAAATAATATTCCCACCTGTACAGAGATAGGAAATTCTTATTAGCAAGAAGAAAGTCACATCGCCGAAAAGAAATTTTTTCCAGTTCCAAGAAAAAAGTAAGAAAGAATATACAATGATAAATGTTGAAGTGATGGGTAAATGAAGTATGAAGAATACAAAAATAAATGGAAACCCTTTTTTAATGTTGAGGGTGTCTTTAACCTGCAGTAAACATGTTAAATAAGAAAAAAAAAGGAGTATGTACATTTAAAAAAGGGAATTATGATGTCTCATTTTTGCATCCAAACTTACGTCCCTCCAATTCAGCAAGATATGTTTTATTACAGGCATTCTTTTATAAAGTTGATAAGATGTTTTCTTCTTCCAGAAACTCTATTTTCCGGCAGGCCTAAATTTGAGAGCTTTACCTGAAGATGTATTACTCATCCGTCATTAAAGCACCGTCACCACAATGATGTATAGTTCCAATACATCATCAGATTGCCATCACCCCTGTGATGTATTACTTACACTGAAGTAGCTGTCAGGAACAGGTTGTGGAAACTCAGCAACTTTTAATATATTCTTTTAAAAAACATTATAAACATTTCTTCCCATGAAAAACTTCATGGTGAATGTAGTTTGACTCAAAATGTAACTTTATCTTTACATTCCAGAGCATAATATGTTTTCCCTTATGTTTGCCCTTATGTTAATTATGGTTACCCATAATTAACAGCTGAAAATTGGTAAGACCAAAGTCCTATGAGGCTGCCTATAGAAGAAGACCATTAGACCAATGGCCAGTTTTGTTTGGTTTAAAATCATTCAAAAATTTACCCAACAGGCTGAGCTACAGTCACTCTCAGAGAAATTTGAAGATATTTTCATAATGAAGTCAATTCTCAAAATAGGTTGCAACTCCTCTTTCTGCTTGAAAGTTGACACAAAGAATCGCTAAAATACTATAGTCTAACTTTTCCTCCTTCATTGCTGAATGACAGCAATATTTATGATATTGTGCCTAGGGGTAAAAAAGATCCCTTAACTTGTAATTTGATCAATTACTTCAATCATAAACAGTTTGCTTACATTTGTATTCAATAGACTTTTGCTCATTATTTGCAGCTATTTTCAGGAAACAAATTCATTTTTTATAGTCAAGAATTTTTTAATTTTAAAGAACATGAATTGTTCAACTGTCTCAAGTCAAGAGGAGGTGTTTGGAATCAAGATATCAGCAACTAGGAGTCCCACCTTTCCCCAAGGAGCTACATTGTTTTTCATGGACAGCTGTTCTATCCCCTTCTTTCTTTTGATAAACAAGACCAGCTGTCTTCTATTGCTCCCCTGATATATTTCATCCCACAGTTAGGTACTTTTAAATTTATAATTGAGGTGATCATTATCTGTTTTTTAGCAGTTTTCTAAATCAGAATTCCAGGGGAGGAGAGTTTGGAGTGTTTGCTTGGGTAGTATCCAACCTGATTAAATTAGCTGATAAACTGTGTTAAGAAGCATTCACCATTAAACAGGTACACTGCTCTTTGGTAGTGGGAATGGGGAGAAATGATATCCTCATAAAAACGAATGCCTACTATAAATTCAAAAGGGTAGATGCTTATTTTTATTTTTATATTATCTAGAATACAGTGACACAACTCTAAAACATTTCCAGCAAGACTTTCCAAAATTATTTTAAGTGATACAGTTTCATCCAGATGAATAAAGTCCTCAGAAGATTTCTCCTAGTAAAGACTCAGCAATTTTGTGGTTATTGTTTTTTTTAAAAAACAGGAAATAATAGAGATATATCCAAAACCCTATAGCTTATACCAGAAAAAACACTTTGGTCATCCAAGCATGCCTAACTGGAGTGCTTGCCATAGGGTGAGTATTGAATACCCATCTAATAAATGGGGAAATGGATGGTAGAACAATGTCTTTTTAAATTTGATAACACTGGTGTGATAAAATTAGCACTGAGTTATAAATGCCAGAACTGATATTGGCATAGCAACAACCTTTTAAAAATTCACTTAACAGCTGCTTTAATTGAGTAAGGCAATGAGCATTTGAATTTATTTAAGATTCAACATATAAAATGTCTCACTCACAAGTATACACACACACACACACACAGACACACACAATTTATGTTAAATAATGATACAAGGAGATCTGCCTCTTGAAAATAGGGAGAAGATACTCAATGGTATCACAAAAATATGAGCAGCATTTCCTCCATTAGAAAGCTTTAACACCTAAGCTGATGTTCCGTTGATTTATGACAACCAGTTTCAACTAAGATAATTTTATAGTAGGTAAAGAAAGGTAAATTCCACATTTACTTTCATAATGCACATTTTAACCTCTTTAGCAAAGCTAGCTAGGTAATATGTGGAAGAAATAAAGTCAGTGGAGAATTTATACTTGGGAGAAGTTACAAAGTATTGCTAATACTTGAAGACAGATGACTACAAGAATTCACATCAAATGTTCCAGTTAGGGAATAGCATAGGATGCATATATTGAAATTATGTGGAGCAAAACCTTGGCCATATTACTTTGATGTATATTTTTATTCCTGCTTTTATAACTGGACAGACATAAGAATGTGAAACAATTGTGATTTGAACATACTTTTGCTGCTGAGCTTCTCTGAGCACTTTTTAAATGAAAATGAGTATGACAAGTAAGTGTGGTTAAACTCATTTCACATCTGAATTACATTAATCAAAATATTACTGCTATAAATTATCAAAATTTGTGGTAGTAGTGGTGACATTTCTATATTTATCAAGCAAGAATATTTAAAGTGCACAACTAAAGAGAAATTTTGATAAGCTACTTAATTTAGATTGTCAAGAAGTACTAGTAAATATATTTATAATATCATTTCAGATTACTTTAAATCACCTGCTTGCAAAAACAACTTTATAGATTAGAAGCAATCTCTGTAACTGGACCTATGTCTTAAACTGTTTTTGTTTTTTTTTTTTCTGAGACAGAGTTTCACTCTTGTTGCCCAGGCTAGAGTGCAGTGGCACAATCTCGGCTCACTACAACCTCCACCTCCTGGGTTCAAGCGATTCTCCTGCCTCAGCCTCCCTAGTAGCTGGGATTACAGGTGCCCACCTGTAAGTTGTAACTCAAATGATACGGAAAGGAAGAAAAAACAAATTGCTTTATAGCAGTGATTCTCACTGTGGAGCTTCTACACCAGCAGCAGGAACATAATATTGTAGAAATTCAACTTCTCAGGCCACTACTGAATCTGAAACTCCAGAGACAGGTATGGTAATCTGTGTTCTTAGAAGCTTTCATAGTGATTCTGATGCATACTAAAAATTGGGTACCACAGGTTTGAACAATGCAGATTCAACAAGGATTGTTGCATGATACTAGAGGAATAATGCAATTCTTATACATAGTAATAAAACAATGATAACAACAAAAATTGTATCACTATGGAACTAAACCAATGAGACTTTGAAGCAAATGTGAAAAACAATGCATAGACAATACTAAGAATCTTAATATCATCGTTTACATAACAATTGTAGTAAAGATTATAATGAAGTAACTAAGGATTTTCCATTTGAATAAAGTGATAAAGCAAATGTTCCCAACTCAGAGCAAAATGTTTCCTCATATAGCGGGAAAATGTGTTTATATATTACAGAAATATTGTAGAAATAATAACCACCTTGCTGAACATGCAAAAAATATGCAAAGATAAACATAAAGCCATTGAGAAAAATCAATAACTGGCTTATGTCATAGCTTATATTTCTAGTATTAATGACTTCTCAATTTACCTATAAAAGGATAATGTTCAGGGTACCATTGGTGGCGTCAATTTAGTAAAGTGTTTACTCTTCATCAAAACAAAGAAATACTAATATCAATTAATATTCTAATAGCTGGGAAGAATAAGATAATATCAATAGTTTTGTTTCTCATTTTTAAAGGTAGAATACAAAGCTAATTTCTTCCACTTAAAAACCATCTATTTGCATATTGTTTTATTTTAACTGACCATATATCAATGGAAATTAGTTCATATTTATGCTGTTTGCAATTCATATTTAAATGTGTGTATTAGCCCTATTATTGTGGATTCTAAGCATTTATTCCTTGACATGGAAGGGTTAAATTTAGTAATGTGTTTTAGTTAGCAATTTGGAAAGCAATGATTTAAGTTAAAAATGTGTAAGTCATATATATAAGTTGTCCTAATATTCTTCTGATGAATTATATGTGATAAATTCAAATCATGTTAATATATTTATTTTAAAAAATAAAATTTTACTGATTGCATTACACTCATTTGTAAAATTTGTTTGTATATGAACATGTTTTTTGCCCATTTTAGAGTCTGAAGAATAATGACCTCAGAAAGCAGGTGCTAGTTGTATTAATTTCATCATATGTTAGGTAACACTTACACAAGTGTAAATATTGTATCATTGTCTTAGTCTGTGCTGTTATGACTATATGCCACAGATTAGGTAATTTATAAATATCAGAAATTTATTTCTCACTTTTGGAACCTAGAGAGTTCAAGATCAAGTCACCAGCAGGATTGATGTCTAGTTCAGGTGGATCTCTGTTCCTAAGAGGGTGCCTTGCACCTGCATCTTCTAGAAGGGAAAAGGACTGTGCTCTCACAGTCTTTTGGCAAAATGAATGGAAGGTCCAGAGAGTGCTCCCTTCAACTATAATCTTTTTATAAAGGTGCTAATCACATTCATGAAGGTGGAGCCCCGGTGACTTAATCACCTCCCCAAAACCACACTTTTTAATAATGTTGCATTAACTTTCAACACAAATTTTAGAGCGGGCACCATCATTCAAACCATAGCAGTCAGACACCATTATTTTTCTTGTGTTCTTCATTTAAAAAGCAGAAAGTCCTGTGACCATGTATATTCAACTAGGACTTCGATTTTTTTCCTTTAGCTTATCCATATTAATAAATGCAGTAAGTTATAACACCGTAAGTCTACATTTTATGGGTAGTTCACCTCAGCATTGATACTTTATGTTAATACTGTACAAATACTATAGACAAAACCAAAATTCCCTGAAACATTTCAGATAGTGTAAATAATCAATTTTCATCATGACATTTTGGATTTATTTCTTTAGACAATGCAATCTGCATCGCTTTAGATGTTGAAACATCATTTAACAAAGAAGATTCCATTTCCTTCGTGAAAATACATTTATTCGGCATTTTCTTTTGTTATTTGAGCTCATGAAGACTGATAGAAAGAAAGAGGGCTCAGGTCATCTCAGTGCTGGGTTATTGAAGATCTCCTCATGGGAATGAGGATGAACAGGCTCCTTGAGTCTGGAAGGCTCTAACTCTGAGAGATTGGATCCGCAATTGACTTACACCACTCCTCTCATGCTTAACCTGTCTCTCAAAAAGTAGATGTCCTTGTTTCTTTACTCCACATCTGTTCCATAACACCTTAATCACTTTGCCTTTGATTCCACAGCTTTGATACCCAGCTTTTGTTCAGTCTTTTCAAAGTGAATAGCTTCATCTTTAACATCGCTAGTCCTTGCTCAAGGCTTTCATTGTCTTGTGACTACTGCTTATTGTCTTCTGTCGGTTTAGGTCTCTGAGTTTGTGCGGTTCTGTGCACTTTCATCTGTACATTCTTCTCTGTATGCCAGGTACTCAGACTCCTGGAGAGAGACTTAACACCAATAGAGCTTACCTATTGTTCAGAGTCTCATACGTATATCTCAAATTATGTCCATAAAAAAATTTAAAAGTGTGTATTGGATCTCTTAAATTCAATTTCAAAAATATGACACAGCATTTTCATAAATAACTAGAAATCAATGATGCAGCAGGCAAAATAAAATATAAGAGGTGAAGAAATATTAAGGATGAGATAGTATTAATTAAAATAAACATAATCCTGCTCCTGAGTCTTATCAAGCTACCAGTTAATATATCATCCACAAAGAAAAGCCTTTATCATTATCAAAAGACTTTGACATTAAATACAGATATCAGAGAAATTGGCTTTATAGACATTTTCCCCAAGTTTAGGCATATTCAAACACATAAATCACACACAGATAGCACTCAAGGTAATGTTTTTAACTTGAGTATGTCTTTGAAAATTTAATAAAAGTGAAAATTGTGTGAAGGATTGAACGAGACAGAACCTAACAATTATTCATTTTCACCAGGCATGGTAGAATTAACAAAAATATTCTGGCAGTGTTTATAAGATATTCTGGGTGATTTGGGATTTTAATGAACCATGATTCCCTGCTGCTGCAACCCCTCTTGTATCAAATTATAATTAGTGTGTGTCAAGATACATTTATTTCGATGTCTGCCAAGAGCATCTAACTGCAGAAAACAGTGTCACGTACTAAAAAGAGCATGTGTTTGAGATTTGAAATGAACTGGATTTGAAATCTTACATTCACAGGCCACTCAGTCTTTTCTCTCAAGTAAGCTTGTTTGGTTGTCAGCTACCAGAATAGTTATAGTGTCAGCTACCAAGCACACTACAACAATTCAGCATCACTTTAAAATAATGCTTGAAAACATACTTGTAGCATTTCCTCTGCTCACTCTACATGAACTTTCAGTACCTCAACACTTCCAACAAGTACTTCAGAATTCACTTGATAATAATGCCTACCTTGTCTACCTTACAGAATTGTTGAAAGAAACAAATGAGCCTCACTGGAGAGAAGGGAGAGCCTCCAGGAGATATAATAGCAATTCAAACACACAGACCAAAAACTGGAAGAGTATCAGCCAAGCAGAACCTAGGAAGACAGAAAGTCAGCTCTAAAAATAAAAAGCAAAAAATAATTGATGATTTTAAAACGTGATATACCCTGAGATTTTTTCTCCCCCAATATTCTTAAAAAATATAAAGAGTACATCTCTCAGTTGTAAATGAAAACACTGGGGAAGGAAAAAAGTAGGAAAAAGTGGAAGAAGTTTTTTAAAGTAGAGAAAGAGAAAATCAAATAACAGCTACATGCCAAAAAGTTATGTGTTAATTATTTTCAATGAACCTTAAAGAATATTTTATAGTCGTTCACTTTTCCCAAAGTAAGAAATGTGCTGGGAAGTTCAGGAGCATTGAGAGAAAACTGACAGAATGAATCATGAGAAAAGAAAAAATAGAATCTCTGGAAGACTTTGACTGTATTTAGATCAAACAATGGATCAACACAGAGTGAAGGAAAAGATACTTAAATTTTAAAAATACATTGTTGTATATTTATAGTTTACATATAAAACGAGGATATTTTGGATCTATAGAGAAGAGTAGATATGTGACAAACACATAAGATTTGACAAGGTATCATAGTTAAGCTAAAAATATCACAAAGTTAAAGTATTAATTTATTTATTCTTAAAAGGCATTGTGAATATATATGAATAAGACATAATTCCTGCCATACTGGGAAATAAATAAAATATAGTCGGTTAGTTAAAGTGAACATTGTAACTGACTTAGTGAAATATATTTAAAGTGCTTTTACTATGAAAGAAAAAATGGGGGATGATAAGAGTTTCTGAGTCTTAATGTGATCTAATACTAGTGTACAAGTCTAGAATGGAAAATAAAAGTAGGACATGGATAAACTGGAGAGATTAAAAATAGATTTTTTTTTTAGAATAAAGGTGTTCAGGTAAACTACAATCAAAATCAGGTTAGAGAGGACACATTTTGTATTTTCTGTGCAGCAATGTCTCTTTTAATTAAATACTAGCTTGTTTCGTGTCTGACCATTAAGTTCCTTTCAAAGGTGTTTTTTAATGTTCCAATTCCCATGGCCTCACTTGATTGGAACAGAGAGGGCAGGAGTCAGAAGATGAATGAATGAGTCCTGGTCTAAGGTTTTCCATAGCTCTCTCACATGAATATCTAGTCAAGTTTTATTTTTAAAGTTCTGAGTTTTGAGGAGCTGAGAATTATGCTATGTGGAAAATTCTAGTCATAACTAAGAGAAGAGAAAATGGAGAGAAGATGAAAAGAAATTCAGAGTTTCTAGTTGGTATTTGAATCTCTCATTTCCACAGTTTTGAATGAACTCCCACGTCTCTGTTATTTTATGGTTTATTTGATTCTTGAAATAACTTTTAATCTCAATTATTTTTGTGTGATTTCTGTCTTGTTTTGTTTTGTTATTGTATTTTTCAGTGTAAAGGTACTTTGTTGTTGTTGTTTTTGTCTTCCCAACATTCATTCCTGTCCCTGTCATTGATTTTGGGAAAACTGCATCTTACCAACTGCCATCTAGCTAGAATATCTGACTCGTGCTAAGCCAGACAGTACATTTCATATCTCTGCCAACAGTAATTGGAATAGGAATAAGTAACCCGAGCCATTACAATTAGTGCTAATTATCTGTACTGGGACTACAACAATCTACAAGTCACTGGAATGCTGGAACAAGGACTGCCCTTCAACTGGATAAAGAAACATGTATTCTTTACAACTTTAGAAACCATCTTATATCTGCAAGATGAAGCTGATAAACAGGAAGAAAAGGGAACTGGGAGGGAGAGAGAGAGAGAGAAAGAGAGAGAGAGAGAGATTCTGGGTGACAATTGAATTGGCAGATAAAGGCTTACATTAATCTTGCCTTGTGTTTTTAATTTTGTGGGTCATTAAATCATCTTTATTATTGAATCCAGTTTGAATGAGGCTTTCCATTATTTGCAATATAACAAATTCTAATGTCTGTTTTGTTCTTGTTGGATTACACTTCCTTGCAGGAAAAACAACAGAATTTCTAGGCATTCCATAAGCATTCGACATAAATGGGTGTTGGTGTCACTAAAATCTAGCTCTCTGAGAAAAGAGTATTTTACAAGACAGGACATAATGAGAAAATGGATATTCCAAGTAGGACCTCTTTGAAAGACTAGTGTTGGCCGGGCACTGTGGCTCACACCTGCAATCCTAATGCTTTGGGAGGCCAAAAATGGAGGATTGTTTGAGGTCAGGAGTTTCAGATCAGCCTGGGCAACATGGTGAGACCTCATCTCTAGAAAAAATAAAAAAATTACCAAGCATGGTGACAATCACCTGTAGTCCAGCTACTTGGGAAGCTGAGACACAGGATCCCTTGAGCCTGGGAGATGGAGGCTGCAGTGAGCTATGATCCCACCACTGCACTCCAGCCTGAGCAACAGAGTGAAACCCTGTCTCAAAAAAAAGGGGGAAAAATCACAAAAATACTAGTGTGGAGGCACATATACTTGACTCTGTATTGGGTCTCACATATCTTGCATGTTTCCTTCTTGAGATGGAATTGTCAGTTGCTGAACACATACATCATGAAATGTGGACAACACAGGACAGTGAGTACCTCTCTAAAATTTACCAGATATCTTAAGAAACTCAGTGTTAGAATAGGGACTCTTAGACTCACTTATCCAGAAACAAAGACCAAATAACATTCAGAAAAATAATTAAAATCATTTTTGCAATATCATTAAAAATATCAAAATAAATTGGCAAACATGTACAAAGGAATAAGAACACAGAAAGTCCTATAGACTGTAATGGGAAGAAACTTCAGGATAAAGGAAGTAAAACAATGAAATAAACATGTTAGCATGTCACTCAGGTGGTCTAGAGAACAAGAACTAGTGAAATAAGAGGCGTTTTAAAAGGAATCGACTCATGTTGTTGTTGGGGTGGCAAGTCTGAAATTTGTGGGGCAGGTTGACAGGCTGGAAATCAGGCAGGACTTGATGCAGAATTCCTTGATTCAGAAGTCTTGAGGCAGAATTTCTTATCCTTCCAGAAATCTGTTTTGCTATTCAAGCCTTCAACTGATTGGATAAGGCCAGCCCTAATTATCAGGGTAATTAACTGATTGTAGAAGTAAACCATGTCTATAAAATACCTTCAGTGCAACACCTAGATTAGAGTTTGATTAAATAAGTGGATACTACAGCCTGGCCACATTGACTTGTAAATCTGTAATCATCACACATGCTCTATTACATAGCCAGGTTGCACTCAATTGAAGAGCTAATTAGTGAATTTAAAGTAAATGGCTGAAAATTTTACAGCACTGTCACATATATAATTTTTTGTCAAATTGAATATATTCACTTGGTGCCACAGGCTAAAGAGTAAGCAAATGATCAATGACTAGAACACAACAGTAACAATAAGAACAAATGCAGGAATCTATCTATGAAAGCAATGAAGAGCCATTGCTGTTCTGAGAAGTGAAGTCACAAATCTCCCTCACAGGACCACTGTGTTTTGAGTCACCTGTTCACGAGCACTGAACTGCTCAGAGGTAGGCGGAGTAGCAGTGGGGCAAGAGAGATGTGGGTAGTTCCTGGGTATAATTTGAAGGTAACATGATTTCCCTAGGCACTTTTTGTAGTTTGTGAAGGGAAGGGAGTCAAGAATAAATCCAAGTGTATTGACTGCAGCCCAGGGCGAATGGAGGGAGCATGAAGCCCATCAGTGGAGGATGTTTTAATGCCATGACCAGGATTTCTATTTTGACTATATTAAGCTTGAACATATTCTGTCACCCCAGAACTACCCCTGCTTCACTGGATCTGCCCTGCTTTCTTTTCTAGAATCTCTAGGTCTGCAGAGGGTCTTTGCATCTGCTGGAAAACTTTCTTCACATACCTGCTGCCTCTGTGTTAGGCTTTTACCAAGCATCACTTGCACCACACCATGAGACCTTGCCTGGCTTCATGGCTTATAATTAAACACAATCCTCAGCAACTAAATTTATCATCTCCATTTCATATTTATTATTTTATCCTCTAGCATTTATCTCTGACAAAACATAGTTTTTTTTTTTAATTGTTCATGTTTTTGTAGGATTGTAGAGCATGTCAATTAAAATTACCTGGGGTTGAATCCAACCTCCACTACTTACTCTTGGACAAATTACTAAACCTCTCTACTTCAGATTTCACACCTGTAAAATCAGGTTGGTAATACCTAATAGTGATGGGGTTATTAGACTTACTCGAATGTTGATTTATGCCAAACTTAACTAGCAATGATGGCATATAAAGAACATAAAATAAAATGTTAAAATTCAAAGAAAAAAACTAGTTCCAATATTTAGAAAAAAACTAACTCTAATTATATATTCACAAGAAGGAGAGAGAAGTGAAAAGTGCAGACTAAATGTTTCGGTCAAACATTAGGATTGAAGTGAGAATTAGAACATGAATTCCTTTCTACAGTTCATACTCAACAGCTCATCAATAGGGAAAAGCCAACCTACAAAACAGCCAATGTCAAACGAATTCCTTTTAACACCTACCATATGCCAGACATAGACTTAGATTCATTTAAAAAGAGGTAGCTTTTTCTAGTCTTTTAATAACAAGAAGGTAAGCAACACAATCATTACTATGTAGATAATGAGCTAGTGTATTAGAGAAGGGAAATGATAGTCACATGAATCCACATTTCTTAGACGTAAAACCCTTGTTTGCCTTCTCTAATGCAGAAGAGTTTCACTTTATTTCAAATAACGCTTCATCAAATGAAACTGACTTAACATACAGAGCAGTTTTCCAACCTACACTTTGTTGATGTTGAAATAATGTGGATCATAAATAAGTTCTTTGGTTGGTGTTCAGACATAGAGGGTACAGAAGTAAGGAGATATGAAACCAAATGTATTGAAGATACTTAAATACTCCTCCCTTTATTTTAGCTATCATGAAAGCAAATTGTTAAACATAATTTTATAGTTTTGTCAAGTCCAGGAAAAATTCTAATTAAAATAATGGTACCAAACTATAAAATTATTAAATCATAACTTGTCTGATATTTGGAGATTTTGTTTTGTTTTTTCTGAATAAGAGACTCACAGAAAAGCCCTATTGGGGCCATAACTTAATGTAAATTATTAATTGTGTTCTAAATATTCTTGGCATTAAATATATTAAGGATTTAATATCAAAATTGAATGCAATTGGAAATTATGCTGACAGACAATTGAACTTAGGCTTTAATCAATTTGGCCATTATCAAATATCTTATAAATTTTTGGCTAATGACAAAATAACACAAACACACACATACTCACACACACAGACAAGCAAACCATTATGCAATAGTCATAGACTGAGATTAGCATTTCTCTAACTTCAGTTTAAAAGAATTTTTTACTTTCTACCAGCAAATAATATAAGGTGAGTGTTATATGTGTATACATGAATGCCTGTGTGTGTGTGTGTGTGTCTGTGTCTGTGTGTGTGTGTGTGTGTGTGCGTGTTGTTGGCAAAGAAGGTATATTATAGAATATTTTTATCAGGCGAGAGCAAGTACTCGGCCTAATATACTAACAAATAATGAAGCTTTCACAGCATGAATTTATTTATTTTTATTTTTTCTATTACTATATAATTCAAATGAGAGTGAATTGTCATTCTTTTTGCTTACTAAATTAGATTTTTCTCTCTGTTTTCCTTTTTAAAATTTAAATTTGATTTGCTATACTTGCTTTAATATTTTGGAGGAAACTTAATTTATATTCTCTTTGCTAAATGCTTTGCATTTTAGACCATAAATTTTCTCTAAGAGCTATTTCTAAAATACACTCTAAAAATGGGAATAGGAGAGTATCTCTGAAAATCTTCCCTCTGTAAAACGAAATTTAAAAGTCCTCAAAATAGCTGGGCATGGTGGCACACGCCTATAATCCCAGCTACTCTGGCAGCTGAGGCACAAGAATTGTTTGAACCCAGGAGGCGTAGGTTGCAGTGAGCCGGTATCAACGCCACTACACTCCAGCTTGGGCGACAAGGCAAGACTCTGTCTCAAAAAAATAAATAAATAAATAAATAAATCCTCAAAACGGTTTATCTAACTTACATTGAACTGTGGGAATTAACGAAAGGCTTGCAACAATTCAAGTAATGTTTATTCTAGAAAAATGGAACCTCGGATAGAAACAGTGAGCCTTGTTTTTTAACATGCCTTATTTGCATCTTCTCCCCTCAGCTCTATGCTGAAAACCAAAAGCACAATAATTACAGTGACAGGAGAGATTCCAAATTCCCTTTCTGAAATAGTTGGCATAATTTGACCTGTCGAAAACCTCTTTGGTGCCAGGCATGGTGGCTCACGCTTGTAATCCCAGGACTTTGGGGGGCGGGCAGATCACTTGAGATCAGGAGTTCAAGACCAGCCTGGCCAACGTGTTGAAATACCATCTCTACTAAAAATACAAAATTAGATGGGTGTGGAGGCATGTGCCTGTAATCCCAGTTACTTGGGAGGCTGAGGCAGGAGAATTGCTTGAACCTGGAAGGTGGAGGTGGCAGCAAGCTAAGAACCCCCACTGCCCTCCAGCCTGGGTGACAGACCAAGACTCCGTCTCAAAAAATATATATAGAAAATAAAACTTCTTTGGAAAATGAAATTTGCACGGCTGCTCTTCACTTGAACTGAGTCAGAGCTTGCGCAATCTAAATATCTTTTCCCTGGGGGTATTTATCAAAAACAGTCGACAGCAATTGTTGAACATCACAGCTACTGAGGCGGCAGTAACAGTTGTCTGAAACAACAAGCTTATCGAAAAGTTTAAATGAAAGTCTTAAAGAAAATATGCATCTGACAAAGGTCTAATATCCAGAATCTTTAAGGAACTTAAGTTAACAAGCAAAAACCAAACAACCCCATTAAAAAAGGGGACAAAGGAGATGAACAGACACGTTTCTAAAGAGTACATACAAGCATTGAACAAGCATATGAAAAAATCCTCAACATCAGTAATCATTATAGAAATGCAAATAAAAACCACAGTGAGATACCATTCACACTAGTCAGAATGGCTATTATTAAAAAAGAAAAAAAAATAACAGATGCTAGCTAGGTTGCAGAGAAAATGGAACACTTATATACTGGGAAGGAATGTAAATTAGTTCAGCCACTGTGGAAAGCAGTTTGGTGATTTCTCAACAAACTTAAAACAGAACTACCATTTGAAACAGCAACCCCATTGTTAGGTATACACCCCGAAGAATTTAAATTATCCCACCATAAAGACACATGCATGTGTATGTTTATGGCAGTACTATTCACAATAGCAAAGACATGAAATCAACCTAAATGCCCATTAATGGGAAAATGTGGGACTTACATACTGTGGAATATTATACAGCCTTAAAAAAGAAAGAAATTATGTCCTTTGCAGAAACATGGATGCAGCTAGAGGTCATTATACTAAGTGAACTAACACAGGAATAGAAAACCAGATACCACATGTTCTCACTTATTAGTGGGAGCTAAACACTGAATACAAATAGATACAAAGAAGGAAACAATAGATACTGGGGCCTACTTTAGGGTGAAGGGTGGGAAGAGGAAGAGGATAGAAAAATAGCCTGTTGGGTACAGTGTTTATCATCTGGGTGATGAAATAATCTGTACACCAAACCCCTGTGACACACCATTTACCTATATAACAAACCTGCACATATACCCCTGATTTTTTTTTTTTTTTTTTTTTTTGAGACTGAGTCTCGCTCTGTGGCCCAGGCTGGAGTGCAGTGGCTCGATATCGGCTCACTGCAAGCTCCGCCTCCCGGGTTCACGCCATTCTCCTGCCTCAACCTCCCAAGTAGCTGGGGCTACAGGTGCCCGCCACCACGCCCGGCTAATTTTTTGTATTTTTAGTAGAGACGGGGTTTCACCGTGTTAGCCAGGATGGTCTCGATCTCCTGACCTCGTGATCCACCCACCTCAGCCTCCCAAACTGCTGGAATTACAGGCATGAGTCACTGCCCCCGGCTGTATCCCCGATTTTAAAATACAAGTTAAAGAAAAATCTTGGGAATGTTCTGTTCATAAGGACTCTGAAAATATCTCATATATTATTTGAATTTGCGAAGCTTTGATAAATTCTTGAGCAGCACACATAAGCATAAGGCTGTGTGTGTGCCCAAGACTGTATGCGTGTCCGGGAGAGACCTAAAAGTACCCTAAGATCTCAATTCTAGAAGACCTCGAGGCTCTGCATAACCAGGAAGTGAAGATTAAGCCAACACGTAAAAGGCCTGGGCGTTGAAGATGCACCGTAACATGCACACAGAGCTCCTCAACAAAGGTTGGAAGACCTATTAGTTCTAGGAATTTAAGGAACCAATTAAATTTAAATATCTATTAATCATTAGTTGACCATCAAGAAATCTGAGTAGAGACTTAAGTGGGCACACACAAGTGACAACATTATAGAATGAGATCAGGAAAATCACTAAACTAATTCAAAAAAAAACAATAACAGCAGTAACAATAAACCCAGAAAAGCAGAGCAATTTGAATTTCAGAGTGGCTATATATATTAGTTCAAATGTAAAGTTTTCGACAAAATACTATGAAATATGCAAAAAAATAAGAAAGTGCAGTCCATACATAGGATAAAAAGCAGTCAATAGAAACCATCCTTATGGAAGCCCAGGCATTAAACTTATTACATAAAGACATTAAACCAGCTGTTTTAAATATATTTGAATATACGTTATAAGAAGTAATGCCTCTAGAACTAAAGGAAATTAGCAGAATATTCTCTCATAAAATAGAGAATAGTAAAAGAAAATCATGAAAACGAAGAAAATAGAAATTCTGAAGTTAAAAAAGGCAATAACTCAAATAAAAAAATAGTTAGACTGACAGCATTTGAGGTGATGGAAAAACAGTTACCAAACTTAAAAATAGGTAAATTGAGACTATACAGTCTGGGGAACAGAAAGCAAAAGGAATGAAGAGAAATGAGCAGAGCTTCAGAGTCCCATGGAAGACCATCACACATACTAACATACAAACATCAAAGTCATAAAAGAAGAGAGAATGTATCAGAGAAAATATATAAAGGAATACTGGATAAAAACATTCCCAAATATAATGAAAATATGTTAATATGTAGATTCAAGAAGCTCACCAAACTTCAAGTAGAATTTATTCAAAGAGAGTCACACTAGTCCCATCATTATCAGACTTGTTAAAAGAACCTTGAAAGTAAGAATAAAGTAGCATCACATCATGCACTACAATTTGTCAATGAGATTAACAACTGATTCTCATCAGAAACTGTGGAGTTCAGAGGCTGTAGAATGACATGTTCTAAGCCCTAAAAGAAAAAATACAATCAAACAAGAATTCTACCTCCAGCAGTAGTTTTTCAGAAATAAAAAGTAAAAAATTGACACCCCCAGATAAACAAAACCAGAAAATTCTTCACCAGCATATCTGCCCTATAAAAGGAAGTCTTTCAGGTTAACATGAAAGTAAACTAGATAGTAAATCAAATCACATGAAAATATAAACAGCACTGGTAAAGGTAACTACATAGGTTATGAGAAAGACAGTATAAATAAATTTTGTTTATAATACAGTACTTTTTTCTTCTATATCATAAACACACTTCATGAAGCAATAATTATACATCTATGTTAATAAGCATACACGGTAGAATGATAAAATTTTTAGAGAAATAAAGGCACAAAGGAACTGACAGAGAATGAACTACATAGGATCAAAGGGTTTACAATATATAAAAAATAAATTGGTATTCATTAAACTAGGTTCTTATGAATTATTAAGTTAGTTTTAATCTCAGTGCAAGAAATTGTCTAAAAACATTATATAATATTATATAATGGGTAAACATTATGTGATGTCTAATAAATTATCTAAAAGCATTATATAATATTTTATTATATAATATTTGGTATTATATAACTTTATATATTATATAACATTATACTTGTTATATATTATATAATTGTTATGTATTACATGTTATGTATTTGGATTGTTACATGTATATGTGTACATTATATAACATATAATGTACACATACACCCACACACGTACAAATATATCACAAGTAACAATCCAAAAATGAAATTAATATTACTTTATGTACGATAACATCAAAAAGTTTAAAATAATTAAAAATAAATTTAAGAAAAAGAAGCAAAAGTCTTATACACCAAACTATGAAACATCACTGAAAAAAATCAAAAATATTTATGCACATAGAAAGAGATCCTGTATTCGTGGATTGGAAAATTTACTATTATAAAGATATTAATACTTCCCAAACTGATCTAACAGATTTAATGAGATCCCTGTCAAAGGCCCAGATGCCTTGTTTGTTTGTTTGTTTGTTTGTTTGTTTTCAGAAGTTGACAAGCTGAAACTTATCCTTTTTTTCTCTTTCTCTACTTAATTTTTGATTTTAATTGACACAAGGTTTAATAATTGTACATATTTATGGGTACATTGTGATATTTTAATGCATGTATACAGAGTATAATGATCAAACCGGGGCAATTACCATATCCATCACTTTAAGCATTTATCATATCTTTGAGGTGACAACATTCAAAACTTTTTCTTTTGGCTCTCTTGAAATATACACCACATTTGTTATTGGCTACAGTCACCCTACAGTGTTATAGAACAATGACATTTATTCTTCCTTTCTAATTGTAACTTTGTACCCACTGACCTCTCTTTCAATGGTGATGCAACCCTGTCAGCTCTATTTCCCCCCAATTTTATGGGATTAATTAAATTCTTATCATATTTTTTCCTTATGTGTTTATAAATTAGACATTTTTGTGTGTTGCTTCAGAAATGGATACTATTTATTGAATTTAATATCTATCATGTAAATATTTTTGGGATATATAATTGTATACTGATGCTTATTTCTTGTTTCAGTAAGTAAATTAAATGCAAGTCACCCATCTAGCAAAAGACCCTCTGCTCCAGTTTTCTCAGCTTCACTGCATCTGCCACCTGTACACCCGGCAGTTTTCATGCAAAGTCAATCATATCATGACCCCAGTGTCAGGATTCTTATACTCATTGGTTGATACTTTAAGTTTATCTGGGTCTTTACAAGCACAAATCTCTATAAAGAAAATCCTTATTTGAATGACTCTAAAAAAAGAAATAAGTCTCTTCATTAAACTGATAGAAAAGTTTAATATTCATTTCTCAAATAAAATAAATAAAAGCTAGTTTTACTCGTCCTGATCAATAACATGTGAACGTTTATATTTCATACTGAATGCCTACTTAAAATGATGAAGGGATTGCAACTTAGAAGGCAGTTAAAAAGAGGATTAGAAGATGATATATTTCAAACACTAAAATTTTATTTCTATATGCCATAAATGTAAAATGACTTGCAAAGTGACCTCTTTGGTACTTCGTTAGAATTCAATATTTTAAATGTAGAGTAATTTGGGATGCACTGAAAAGGGTGCATATTATACAGACATGTATATTTTGTTCTGATATTTGGTTTTCTCTATTTACATGAATATGTATTCATATTTTCTTTTTAGATTACCATATATTTAGAAGTCAACTCTATTGCTTTTTTAAAAAAGGAAAATCATTTAAAATTTTAAGATGTGTTTTCCTGAAAGATTATGTTTTATAAGACAAAGTACCCTAAAGATGAGTAGAATTTTGAATTTACTCTGTCTTTGGGTAATTATCATATTATGGAGAAGTCTGTTGCTCAGATAAAACATTCAGAAAAAATAAGAAAGTGGTAAATGTACATGATAGTATCTTTCTCCACCTTTCTAATTGATACTGAATTATCTTCAGGTTTCTCATAATAAATGCATATGACCTCACAATTTCTAACTTTATAATAGATTCTCCACCTGCCTGAGTGTATTAAGCCCTCAATGTTCTGACTTCATAAAAACTTAACTATTCCCACCCCATGGTTTCTAAAACAAGAGTAATATATCAATCCATCTTATAATACAATAACTCTCATTGACCCTGCAATTGGCTTAAATTATGTTCAATAGTATTGAATATATGTACATTTAAAACTAAGTAGAAACTATTAATGCTAATGGTTCTTATATATTTTTAAAAATGTCATTTAATTACAAAGCAATTGTAAACCAATACAGTTACCAATTAACAATATTAATTTCAAGTACACAATAAATTTCTGAAAATTTCTGAAATTAATTTCTTGTCCTAATATTAATATACAATTGACTTATACATAAAGGTTTATTAAGTTTGGCATGTTTGTACAACCTTATACCTAATAATGACTCAAACATTTCAAATATGTTCAGTCATATTTATTATGTAATTAATTAATGCATATTACCCTGATTTTTTTTCCCATTAACTCAAGTAATGTAGTACAACATAATGCAACTCAGCTGTAAATAAAGAAAAGTACTTAAGCAATTGGTTAAGAGAATGTCAGAAATTGGCATGAGATTGTAACATAGATGATCAGATAATAATAATAATTAATAATAATATTTATAATTATTATTATAGTGGCAGCAGAGTGCAGGGGCGCGATCTCGGCTCACTGCAACCTCCACCTCCTGGGTTCAAGCAATTCTCCTGCCTCAGCCTCCTGAGTAGCTGGGATTACAGGCCCTCGTCACCAGGCTCGGCTTATTTTTGTACTTTTAGTAGAGATGCGGTTTCGCCATGTTTGCCAGGCTGGTCTCAAGCTCCCGACCTCAGGTGACCTGCCTGCCTCAGCCTCCCAAAGTGCTGGGATTATGGGTGTGAGCCACCGTGCCTGGCCTATAATTATTTTATTTTGGATTTAATTTAACTATAAGTTCATGATAAAAATATCATAAAACTCATAGATAATTCTATCTGAAGGCCCTGTCCCACACACCTGTAAAACATAGATGTGCAATTGAGGTCGGCTATTTCTTAGTTGGGTTACAGTACATAAGTTCCTTAACATTTTAAGCCTCTTGCTCTTCCTTTATGAAATCTAGAAAATAGTAACTACAAATTTAGAGTTGCTGTGTGGGTTTCTCTCTTTCTCTCTCTCTCTCTCTATATATATGTGTGTGTGTGTGTGTGTGTGTGTATATACATATATGTGTGTATGTCCTTTTTGAGTGATAGTGTATATATACACATTATATACATATTCATACCTACATAGCCAAATATATGTGTGTACACACACACACACACACACGTGAAAAATAGCAAAGGACAAGTGCAAACTAGAAAGGCTATAATCCCAGAAAAAGGAACACATACACACACAGAGATTCACATATTTGTGAGTTTATGCATTAAGTCCCTGGCACAATATGTATTCACTGGGGAACAAAGCAGGCATTTGACAAATGGTAGGCACTATTATTATTACTACCACATAAAAAATGAATAACTATGTTGTTGATTAGGTAAGTATTTCTCCAATAATATTAACTTCCAAAGGGTTGCCCCTTCCAGGTAACATAATAGGACAATAGAATTAAAATATGAGAACGCTTAAGAAGGGCAATTTCAGACTTTCAGATAATTCAGTGAGGGAGATATTTTATTTTGGAATGTAGTGCCATTTACATCACACTGGAGTAATTGTGTCTGTTCTACATATAGCTAGTTCAGTGTATACACTAAGTATATGCATTTGTATGCATGTGTGTGTTTTTTTAAGTGATGCGATTTTTATACCAAAATATATTTCATTTTTAGGGTTGCAAGAAATAGTTATACTAAAGTATAAAACTTCTTTCACTATCTTTGACATTCTCAATTGGTCACGAATCATCTGTATGGATTAACGTTTCTTTGGGCATCCAAAAATGATCTGGCTTTATGTGCAGAACTATTATCCACAATCAATTGTACCCTTTTTTGTTTTTTAGATGCAAATGATTCTGTTTTACTGAGAATGATAGTTGAATGCCTATATCTAAACATGATCTGACTTACAGTGAATACTATAAAGTCTATACCTAATTGAACATCCCTACAGAAGGTTGGGATGTAGTTTAATTAAATGACTATAAGATGATAACTTTTTATGCTTAGCACTCAAACATTTTAAAGATTGAAATAAGTTTGGGGGTTTAATCTTAGCCTTCAATGTAATGTCTACTCACATTGGAGCTATAAAATAATTAAATATGAGTCTTCCCTTTGTAATTGTGGGCCAGCTTGTCCAGAATAACCTTTTCAAAAGAACCTAGGAACTCAGGAGCAAATATTTCTTTTTCTTTCATTTTTTTTTTTTTTTGAGATGGAATCTCACTCTGTCTCACCCAGGCTGGAGTGCAGTGGTGCAACCTGCACCTCCCGGGTTCAAGTGATTCTCCTGTCTCAGCCCCCTGAGTAGCTTGACTACATGTGTGTACCCCCACGCCTGGCTAATTTTGTATTTTTAATAGAGATGGGGTTTCACCATGTTGGCCAGGCTGGTCTCAAACTCCTAACCTCAGGTTATCCACCTGCCTTGGCCTCCCTGAGTGCTGGGATTACAGGCATCAGCCACTGCACCTTTTCTGGGGAAAGCACCTCTTAAAAATTCTTCTTAAAAGCATCAGAAGTTTGAAAAGTCAGTGAGAAGCTGAAATACTATTGTATTAGTCCATTGTCATGCTGCTATGAAGAAATACCCAAGTGTATTAGTCTGTTTTCATGCTGCTGATAAAGGCATACTTGAGACTGGAAAGAAAAAGAAGTTTAATGGACTTACAGTTCCACATGGCTGGGGAGGTTTCACAATCATGGTGAAAGGCAAGGAGGAGCAAGTCACATCTTACATGGATGGTGGCAGGCAAAGAGAGAGACCTCATGCAGGGAAAATCCCATCTTTTAAACTATCAGATCTTGTGAGACTTATTAACTATCATGAGAACAGCACAGGAAATACCTGCCCCCATGACTCAATTATCTCCCACTGGGTCCCTCCCACAACACATGGGAATTATGGGAGCTACAATATGAGATTTAGGTGGGGACACAGAGCCAAACCATATCACCAATATTAATTTATAAAGAAAGAAAGTTTAATTTATTCATAGTTCCTCATGCCTGGGGAGGCCTCAGGAAACTTTCAATCGTGGTGGAAGTCACCTCTTCACAGAGCAGCAGGAGAGAGAATGAGTGCAAGCAGGGGAAATGGGAGATGCTTATAAAACCAACAAATCTCATGAGACTCAGTCGTCATGAGAACAGTGTAGGGAAAATCACTCCCATGATTCAATTACCTCCAACTGGTCCCACCTTGACACATGAGGATTATGGGGATTACCAGTTAGGGTGAAATTTGAGGGGGGATACAAAGCCAAACCATATTATTCTGTCTGACCCCTCCCAAATCTCATGTCCTCATATTTCAAAACACAATTATGTCCTTTCAACAGTCCCCAAAGTCTTAGATCATTCCAGCGTTAACCCCAAAATCCAAATCTAAATTATCATCTGAGACAAGGCAAGTCCCTTCTGCCTATGAACCTGTAAAATCAAAAAGAAGTTAGTTACTTCTTAGTTACAAAGTGGGTACAGGCATTGGGTAAATACATCCATTCAAAATGGGAGAAATTGCCCAAAACAAAGGGGGCTATAGGCCCCATGCAAATCTGAAATCCAATAGAGCAGTCATTAAACCTTAAACTTCTAACATGATCTTCTTTGGCTCTGCGTTTCACATCCTCTTAATGCTGATGCAAGTGGTGAGCTCCCATGGCCCTGGGCAGCTCCACTCCTGAGGCTTTTCAGGCTACAGCCTCCCTCCCAGCTGATTTCAGAGGGTGGCATTATATGTCTGAGGCTTTCCCAGACACACTGCTCCAGCTTTCAGTGGATCCACTATTCTGGGGTCTGGAGGATGCTGGTCCTCTTCTCACAGCTACACTAGGCAGTGCCCCTTTGGGGATTCTGTGTGAGTGTTCCAACCCCACATTTTCCTTCCTCACTGCCCTAGCAGAAGTTCTTCATGATGACTCCACCACTGCAACAGACTTCTGCCTGGACATCCAGGCATTGCCATACATCCTCTGAAATCTAGGCAGAGGTTCCCCAACCTCAGTTCGTGACTTCTGTGCACCCACAGGCCCAATACCATGTGTAAGCCACCAAGGCTTGGGGCTTGCACCCTCTGAATCCATGGCTGAAGCTGTATCTTGGCCCCTTTTAGCCATGGCTGGAGTTGAAGCATCTGGGACACAGGGCACCATGTCTTGAGGCTACATAGAGCAGCAGGGTACTAGGCCAGGCCCATGAAACCAATTTTCCCTCCTAGTCCTACAGACCTGTGATGGGAAGGGCTGCCGTGAAGACCTCTGACATGCCCTGGAGACATTTACCCTATTTTCTTGGTAATTATCATTTGACTCCTCATTACTTATACAAATTTCTGCAGCTGTCTTGAATTTCTTCTAAGAAAATGAGTTTTTCTTTTCTATTGCATCGTTAGGCTGCAATTTTTCCAAATTTATATGCTATGCTTTTCTTTTAAACATAAGTTATAATTCCAAACCATATCTTTGTGAATATATAAAACTGAATGCCTTTAAGAACACCCAAGTTGTAGCCTACCAACCAAAAAAAGTCCAGGACCAGACAGATTCACAGCCAAATTCTACCAGAGGTACAAAGAGGGGCTGGTACCATTTCTTCTGAAACTATTTCAATCAATAGAAAAAGAGGGAACCTTCCCTAACTCATTTTATAAGGCTAGCATCATCCTGATACCAAAGCCTGGTAGAGACACAACAAAAAAAAGAGAATTTTAGGCCAATATCCCTGATGAACATTGACGCAAAAATCCTCAATAATATACTGGCAAACTGAATCCAGCAGCACATTAAAAAGCTTATCCACCACCATCAAGTCAGCTTCAGCCCTGGGATGCAAGGCTGGTTCAACCTACACAAATCAATAAATGAAATCCATCACATAAACAGAATCAATGACAAAAAACACATGATTATCTCAATAGATGCAGAAAAGGCCTTCGACAAAATTCAACAGCACTTCATGATAAAAAATCACAATAAACTAGGTACTGATGGAACATATCTGAAAATTATAAGAGCTATTTATGACAAACCCACAGCCAGTGTCATACTTAATGGCCAAAAACTGGAGCATTTCCTTTGAAAACCGGCACAAGACAAGGATGCCCTCTCTCACTATTCCTATCCAACATAATGTTGGAAGTTCTGGCCAGGGCAGTCACACAAGAGAAAGAAATAAAGGGTATTCAATTAGGAAAAGAGGAAAGCAAATTGTCTCTGTTTGCAGATGACATGACTGTATATTTAGAAAACCCCATCATCTCAGCCCAAAATCTCCTTAAGCTGATAAGCAACTTCAGTAAAGTCTCAGGATACAAAATCAATGTGCAAAGATCACAGACATTCCTATACACCAAAAATAGACAAACAGAGAGCCAAATCATGAGTGAACTCCCATTCACAATTGCTACAAAGAGAATAAAATACCTAGGAATCCAACTTACAAGGGATGCAAAGGACCTCTTCAAGGAGAACTGCAAACCACTGCTAAACAAAATAAAAGAAGACACAAACAAATGGAAGAACATTTCATGCTCTTGGATAGGAAGAATTAATATCGTGAAAATGGCCATACTGCCTAGGGTAATTTATAGATTCAATGCTACCCCATCAAGCTACCCCTGACTTTCTTCACAGAATTGGAAAAAACTACTTTAAAGTTCATATAGAACCAAAAAAGAGCCCACATTGCCAAGACAATCCTAAGCAAAAAGAACAAAGCTGGAGGCATCATGCACCTGAATTCAAACTATACTACAAGGCTACAGTAACCAAAACAGCATGGCACCGGTACCAAAACAAATATATAGACCAATGGAACAGAACAGAAGCCTCAGAAATAACACCACACATCTACAACCATTTGATCTTTGAGAAACCTGACAAAAATAGGCAATGGGGAAAGGATTCCCTATTTAATAAATGGTGCTGGGAAAACTGGCTAGCCATATGTAGAAAGCGTAAACTGGATCCCTTCCTTACACCGTATACAAAAATTAACTCAAGATGGATTAGAACTTAAACGTAATACCTAACACCATAAAAACCCTAGAAGAAAACCTAGGCAATATAATTCAGCACATAGGCATGGGCAAAGACTTAATGACTAAAACACCAAAAGCAATGGCAACAAAAGCCATAATAAACAAATGGGATCTAATTAAACTAAAGAGCTTCTGCACAGCAAAAGGAACTCTCATCAGAGTGAACAGGCAACCTACAGAGTGGGAGAAAATCTTTGCAATCTACCCATCTGACAAAGGGCTAATATCCAGAATCTACAAATAACTTAAATTTACAAGAAAAAAAAAACAAACAACCCCATCAAAAAGTGGGCAAAAATATGAAGAGACACTTCTCAAAAGAAGACATTTATGCAGCCAACAGACATATGAAAAAATGCTCATCACCACCGGTCATTAGAGAAATGCAAATCAAAACCACAATGAGATACCATCTCACACTAGTTAGAATGGCGATCAATAAAAGTCAAAAAATAACAGATGCTGAAGAGGATGTGGAGAAATAGGAATGCTTTTACACTGTTTGTGGGAGAATAAATTGTTCAACTACTGTGGAAGACAGTGTGGCAATTCTTCAAGGATCTAAAACTAGAAATACCATTTGACCTAGTGATTCGATTACTGGGTATACACCCAAGGATTATACATCATGCTACTATAAAGACACATGCACACGTATGTTTATTGTGGCACTATTCACAACAACAAAGACTTGGAACCTACCCAAATGCCCATCAAAGATAGACTGGATTAAGAAAATGCGGCACATATACACCACAGAATACTATGCATCCATAAAAAAGGATGAGTTAATGTCCTTTGCAGGGACATGGATGAAGCTGGAAACCATCATTCTAAGCAAACTGTCACAAGGACAGAAAACCACATGTTCTCACTCATAGGTGGGAGTTGAACAATGAGAACACATGGACACAGGGTGGGGAACATTATACACTGGGGCTTGTCAGGGGGTGGAGGACTCGGGGAGGGAGAGCATTAGGAGAAATACCTAATGTAAATGATGAGTTGATGGGTGTGGCAAACCAACATGGCACATGTATACCTATGTAACAAACCTGTATGTTGTGCACATGTACCGTAGAAATTAAAGTATAATAATAAAAAAAGAATTTATCATCCATGCACACTAAATATAATAAAAGTTTTTTAATAAAAAAAGAACACCCAAATCTCATCTTGAATTGCTTTGCTGCTTAGAAATTTCTTCTGCCAGATACTTTAAGTCATCACTCTCAAGTTCCACAGATCTCTAGGGCAAGGCCAAAATCCCACCAGTCTCTTTGCTAAAGTGTAGCAAGAGTCACCTTTTTTCCAGTTACCAACAAGTTTCTCATCTCAATCTGAGACCACCTCAGCCTGGACTTCATTGTCCATATCACTATCAGCATTTCATTCAAGACCATTCAACGAGTCTCTAGGAAGTTCCAAATTTTTGCACTTCTTGTTTTCTTCTGAGCCATCCAGACTGTTTCAGTCTCTGCCTTTTCCCCAATCCAAAGTCGTTTCCACATTTTCAGGTATCTTTACAGAAGCACCCCACTCCTGGTAGCAATTTACTGTATTAGTATGTTCTCATCCTGCTGTGAAGAAATGCCCAAGACTGTAATTTATAAAGAAAAGAAGTTTAATTGACTTACAATTCCGCATGTCTGAGGAGGCCTCAGGAAACATACAATCATGGTGGAAGACACCTCTTCAAAGAGCAGTAAGACAGATAATTACTGCAAGCAAGGGAAGTGCCTGATGCTTATAACACCATCAGATCTCATGAGATTCACTCACCATCATGAGACCAGCATGGAGGAAACTGCCCCAATGATTCAATTCCTTCCATCTGGCTCCATCCTTGACATATGTGGATTATGAGCATTACAATTTAAAGTGAGATTTGGGTGGGGACACAGGGCCAAACCATATTAACTATGGTCCCTGACCATGACCCCTGAACAAAGAAAAGACTAGAAATGGCAGATCAACAATTGGTATCCATTTTCTCCAAGACAAAATTGCCATATCTAAAGTGGAAGTGGAGAGCCTGAGAAATTTAGCAGCTTCACTGAGGCAGGAGAACAAATAATTGAAGATTAAGTTCTGCAAAAAAGAATTGACCCTGGTAAAATAAACAAGTTTCAGTTGTCTTTTAATGACGGTTATTTAGCAATACATAGAACCGGGAACACTGACTCAAATAATTGAAATAATATAATTTTCTAGCTTTAACACTGGACATAAGCAAAATACATTGTCTCTTAAGTTATATAAAATCATAACAATCACATATTATCACTGTAATCTGATACATAAGATGATAAAAATTTCATAAAAATAGTTTTTAAAAGGTTTGATACAAAGCCCAGAGAAAAGTCAGATTAGTGACTGAGACTACAAATACGTGTGATTAACATGTCCAAGAAATATTTAAAATTTAGAGAATTTGAGCAGAGAAATAGAAAATACAAATATATGATCTAATGACAATTTCAGAATTTCATAAATTTTTAAAGAAATCACTAAATACAATTAAAATTCAAAAGACTCTTTTAAGTTCACCTAAACAGATAAGTAATGAAGTGGAAAAATTATTAGAAAAGACATGAACTTAATCAGAAGGAGACAGTAGTTTGGAAATTATACTATGGTATGTGAGAGAGGTAGGAGTCATAGAATAAATAATCTTTTATTTGAAACATTGTATAGCCATTAAACCTGTATTTATAGGCATGTAGTTACCCATTTATTTCTGAAAATATTAAACATTGAATTTCATTGCTAAAATATAAATTCTAGTCCCAATCTAAGACCTAATCTTTAGCTATACCAAATCAAGTCACTTCATAGGCCTGGGCCTAAATTTCTTCATTTGTAATAGGAAGGACTTCCTTCTAGCTCCTAAATTTTATCGCCAGGAGGCAAAGTATGTGCTGCTTTCTGCCATTACAGCAAATCGTTTGATATTGTGTTTTCTATTCACTTATAATTCAAATGTTTACTGTGATGAAATTTAACATTTAATGCTTCAATTCAACTTGCAAGGTATAAATTATAAAAGAAAGTGAGCCACTTACTAAAACATAAAGAAGAAAATAAAATATTCTTTTGGTGACTATTTATTTGTATTACCTATAATTACTTACATGAGTAATAGTGTGAAAACGCATAGTGCGTTAACTCTGGATAAACTAAGTTTAGCAAAATCAGAATTTTGTAATCTGAAAACTGCTGCTGTGCTGAAGGGAAGACGTTGCCTGGAGACGAAGTACAGCATCTGAAGCTTGATATTGTCTATAACATTGTCTCAAATGAAGGAACATTACGTACCAAGCTTATTATTGCAGCGATGGCTTCCTGCTTTTCTGAATCAAATTAGGATTATAGCTGGAACCAAAACTAATAAAAGAGAAACCTCTCTGTTTCCATAAAATAACTACTAATGTATACCCACAAGTGATGAAAATTTAAAAAAAAAATCCTAGCAAAATTTTGCAAAATAGAAGCTATCAATTGACAGAAATCCAATAAAGCCTGAAGTTTCCTACCTCTGAACAGTCCATGGAAAGAGAAAAGCTAAAAATCACTCGGCTGTCACTACTGTAACTTTGGATATCAAGTTTTGAGTCATGGTGTTATTAACCACTACATTAACACAAAGTCTTGATCTGGTTTTGGATTTAAGAATTACATTTATTAGGCCGGGCGCGGTGGCTCACGCCTGTAATCCCAGCACTTTGGTAGGCCGAGGCGGGTGGATCATGAGGTCAGGAGATTGAGACCATCCTGGCTAACAAGGTGAAACCCCGTCTCTACTAAAAATACAAAAAATTGGCCGGGCGCGGTGGCGGGCGCCTGTAGTCCCAGCTACTCGGGAGGCTGAGGCAGGAGAATGGCGTGAACCCGGGAAGCGGAGCTTGCAGTGAGCCGAGATTGCGCCACTGCAGTCCGCAGTCCGGCCTGGGCGACAGAGCGAGACTCCGTCTCAAAAAAAAAAAAAAAAAAAAAAAAAAAAAAGAATTACATTTATTTTGACCTGACCTCAAGTTGAAGTGTGCACTTCTACTTTAATAAAGTGGAGAATATTTAACAAAGATGGTCTATTATTTATTAACTATTTTGGCAGCACCACAGCTTTTCATAAAATGTAAGCCTGGAATAAAAGGAGAAAACAAAAACAACAACAACAACAAAACAAAGCAACAATAAGAATATGATAATAATTTCAGGAGCATTGCATGTATATTTGATTTTCCCATTTAGAGCTTTCAGGTTTTGTTTTAAATATTATTAGGGATGTGTCTTCTTGAAAGATTGCCACTTGTCTATGTTCCCTGATTAGATTATTGGTGTGGTTTAACAAAGGTAAGAAGGGTCCCAAAGTTTTTATGCCAAAGTGGTAATAGAATCTCCAAAGCAAAACAGAAAATGATGAAGAATTTGAGATATGAAACTGTGTATAAAAGAATAGATCACTAAAATCATTGACCAAACATTAGGCTGTGTTCTACACCACAATATGCGTATAAGCAATGTTAACTACAGTTCAAGGGTAGAATGACAAGCTACAAAGCATCTTGAGAAAGATCCTAATGTGTTTTATAATTCTCTGACAATTATGTATTTACTATTAAAATAAAACTGTACTATCACAGTTATATACACAAAACTTTGGGGACTTTGACTGTTCAAGAGCTTATGTTACCTACAAGGGTAACAAATAAATTATTCACAGGATAGAAATAATTCAGTAATCATTTTAAACAAAATGGTATGTAAGAGTTAAAATAGCATAGTCAATTTTAAGAATATGGCTGTCCATAATCATAACAGGAAAAAATGAGTCAGGCATAGTTTATAAATGAATTTTTATGAAAAACCAAAGAATTCCAGATGCCTATCTTCTAGCAAATAGAGTGTTGACCCATTTATTTGTGTGTCTAATGTAACTGTAGCAGATAACGTGATGCAATGCCTTGTGTCAATTCATCCCACCTCTGAGTTCACGTATAGGTGTAGTATACCTATTCTGGAAGGCAGACAGCACCAAGTTTATTATAGTATGAGTCTGTTTTCCTTCAGGTGTGTTTTCTCGGGAAACAGAATAGTTAGTGGTGAAGAAGTGCAACCTGAAAATCTAAGAGAGGTGATTTTCTAAGTGCAAACATCAGCCAATGAGAAGCAACAGGAAGTGGATAAATCTCCCAATCATCTCATCTTAAAATGAGAATATTCTAAAGTAGGTACTACATGATTTTTCAGAATATCCCTAAAAGAGTTGCTCCCAAATGATTCACAACAGTAATCCACTCATCGACACACTTTATTAGTTTAGCTTTCTTTCCCCCATTTCCCCTTCTTGTCGTGTACTTCCTGAGATCATCTCTAAATAAACTACCTGCCACAAATCTTTCTCCTAGGATCTACTTTTGGGAGGAACCAAATTAAGAAAGTACAGTTTGTATACCAAGGAAGAAAACACTTGCTTTTTGTTTATTTGCTTTTGTCAATGGAATTAAAAGAGGGGGGAAAAGTAGAAAGCCACATTAAGTAAAAATAATATCTAGAGTAGAAATCTGAAGACGTTTTCCAGTCTTTTTTAGCACTAAGTTTCTATGTAATTTTTTCAAGCCATTTAAATATTTTGATGATACATTCCTTAAAATTAAAAAAAAGAGCTGGAGTGAGGATAGTAGGAATAGATGACCTGTAGAATATCATCCAGTTCAAAAAAATTATATGCTAGAAACCCTTTTATCTAATGCTGTTAGAGCCCATAGTGGATAGGTTAATGAAAAAGTTCAGTTAAAATTATAACTCATAAAAATGATACACTCATAACTTATATTTTACATTTTTTTTTTAATTATACTTTAAGTTTTAGGGTACATGTGCACATTGTGCAGGTTAGTTACATATGTATACATGTGCCATGCTGGTGCACTGCACCCACTAACTCGTCATCTAGCATTAGGTATATCTCCCGATGCTATCCTTCCCCCCTCCCCCAACCCCACAACAGTCCCCAGAGTGTGATATTCCCCTTTCTGTGTCCATGTGACCTCATTGTTCACTTCCCACCTATGAGTGAGAATATGCAGTGTTTGGTTTTTTGTTCTTGCGATAGTTTACTGAGAATGATGATTTCCAGTTTCATCCATGTCCCTACAAAGGACATGAACTCATCATTTTTTATGGCTGCATAGTATTCCATGGTGTATATGTGCCACATTTTCTTAATCCAGTCTATCATTGTTGGACATTTGGGTTGGTTCCAAGTCTTTGCTATTGTGAATAATGCCGCAATAAACATACGTGTGCATGTGTCTTTATAGCAGCATGATTTATAGGCCTTTGGGTATATACCCAGTAATGGGATGGCTGGGTCAAATGGTATTTCCAGTTCTAGATCCCTGAGGAATCGCCACACTGACTTCCACAATGGTTGAACTAGTTTACAGTCCCACCAACAGTGTAAAAGTGTTCCTATTTCTCCACATCCTCTCCAGCACCTATTGTTTCCTGACTTTTTAATGATTGCCATTCTAACTGGTGTGAGATGGTATCTCATTGTGGTTTCGATTTGCATTTCTCTGATGGCCAGTGATGATGAGCATTTTTTCATGTGTTTTTTGGCTGCATAAATGTCTTCTTTTGAGAAGTGTCTGTTCATGTCCTTCGCCCACTTTTTGATGGGGTTGTTTGTTTTTTTCTTCTAAATTTGTTTGAGTTCATTGTAGATTCTGGGTATTAGCCCTTTGTCAGATGAGTAGGTTGCGAAAATTTTCTCTCATTTTGTAGGTTGCCTGTTCACTCTGATGGTAGTTTCTTTTGCTGTGCAGAAGCTCTTTAGTTTAATTAGATCCCATTTGTCAATTTTGGCTTTTGTTGCCATTGCTTTTGGTGTTTTAGACATGAAGTCCTTGCCCACGCCTATGTCCTGAATGGTAATGCCTAGGTTTTCTTCTAGGGTTTTTATGATTTTAGGTCTAATGTTTAAGTCTTTAATCCATCTTGAATTGATTTTTGTATAAGGTGTAAGGAAGGGATCCAGTTCCAGCTTTCTACATATGGCTAGCCAGTTTTCCCAGCACCATTTATTAAATAGGGAATCCTTTCCCCATTTCTTGTTTTTGTCAGGTTTGTCAAAGATCAGATAGTTGTAGATATGCGGCGTTATTTCTGAGGGCTCTGTTCTGTTCCATTGGTCTATATCTCTGTTTTGGTACCAGTACCATGCTGTTTTGGTTACTGTAGCCCTGTAGTATAGTTTGAAGTCAGGTACTGTGATACCTCCAGCTTTGTTCTTTTGGCTTAGGATTGACTTGGTGATGCGGGCTCTTTTTTGGTTCCATATGAACTTTAAAGTAGTATTATCCAGGAGAACTTCCCCAATCTAGCAAGGCAGGCCAATGTTCAGATTCAGGAAATACAGAGAACGCCACAAAGATACTCCTCGAGAAGAGCAACTCCAAGACACATAATTGTCAGATTCACCAAAGTTGAAATGAAGGAAAAAATGTTAAGGGCAGCCAGAGAGAAAGGTCCGGTTACCCTCAAAGGGAAGCCCATCAGACTAACAGCGGATCTCTCGGCAGAAACCCTACAAGCCAGAAGACAGTGGGGGCCAATATTCAACATTCTTAAAGAAAAGAATTTTCAACCCAGAATTTCATATCCAGCCAAACTAAGCTTCATAAGTGAAGGAGAAATAAAATACTTCACAGACAAGCAAATGCTGAGAGATTTTGTCACCACCAGGCCTGCCTTACAAGAGCTCCTGAAGGAAGCACTAAACATGGAAAGGAACGACCGGTACCAGCTGCTGCAAAATCATGCCAAAATGTAAAGACCATCGAGACTAGGAAGAAACTGCATCAACTAACGAGCAAAATAACCAGCTAACATCATAATGACAGGATCAAATTCACACATAACAATATTAACTTTAAATGTAAATGGACTAAATGCTCCAATTAAAAGACACAGACTGGCAAATTAGATAAAGAGTCAAGACCCATCAGTGTGCTGTATTCAGGAAACACATCTCACGTGCAGAGACACACATAGGCTCAAAATAAAAGGATGTAGGAAGATCTACCAAGCAAATGGAAAACAAAAAAAAGGCAGGGGTTGCAATCCTAGTCTCTGAAAAAACAGACTTTAAACCAACAAAGATCAAAAGAGACAAAGAAGACCATTACATAATGGTAAAGGGATCAATTCAACAAGAAGAGCTAACTATCCTAAATATATATGCACCCAATACAGGAGCACCAAGATTCATAAAGCAAGTCCTGAGTGACCTACAAAGAGACTTAGACTCCCACACATTAATAATGGGAGACTTTAACACCCCACTGTCAACATTAGACAGATCAACGAGACAGAAAGTCAACAAGGATACCCAGGAATTGAACTCAGCTCTGCACCAAGCAGACCTAATAGACATCTACAGAACTCTCCACCCCAAATCAACAGAATATACATTTTTTTCAGCACCACACCACACCTATTCCAAAATTGATCACATACTGGGAAGTAAAGCTCTCCTCAGCAAATGTAAAAGAACAGAAATTACTTTAAAATATATATATACATGTATATGAATTCAAAAATTTTGTGTGTTGCAAAGACCCTCTGGGTATGGGTTGTTTATATTTTTTCTTTCATAAATCATACCCACAACACAGCATTTTGGGGTTAAAGTGTAAATAAAATTTTAAAATATCCTTGAAGTAATCTTAGTGCAGAATCCTTGCAGTTTCATATTTTCTTTAATATTTATCATGTATTTCTCAAATAACAAATTGATAAACAATTGTTTGAGGATATTTATTATTGAGTCCTTTTTAAGCTTTTAAAATAGAAAAAATATATTTTTACATATATTTTATTATTTTACATACTTGGTAATGTAATTAATTTAATTTAATAAAATAAATAGCAAAATACACACAACTTCCACTACTGACTCTTGGTAGAGAAGCAGTAAGTGGGTGTCCTGAAATTTTGCCACCTAGATGTATAATTTCAATACATCATACATTTTGTCAGAAAATTTAATCCAATAAGTCAGTTATATAAGTTTTATTAAGAGAGTGATTCTGCTCTCTTAAACTTCCAAAACTCCAAGTCTTTTCCAAGGCAAGTAACAGAAAATTAATATGGCTGCAGCAACCTCACTACATGAAAAAGTATATGAAACATCCACTGGAGAGACCCTCAATTGAATTTACGCTGATAAAAAGCCAAATATTCAGTCATCATTAGACATTAAAATTGCATTAATAAGAACAATTTTCACACTCAATAATAACTCATCCATTTTGGGAACCATCTAGTACTTCAAGGTTCCAAGCATATCATCAGGGATTTCCTTGATCACAAAGCACTGAAAGCACAGGGCTCTGTGTTCTCTTCTATTTGCTTTAACCAGTGAATCTAAAATGGCAACTCCAGTTATTGCTGTAGGGTCAATTTGCATTGAAAGTGATAATTTTCTTGATGGTTATTAAGGAATAAGCCTGTAGGCTTAATATTAAAGTTTTGTAGACATGGAATCATAATTTGGTAATATATAGAATTACAGAATGCTACAGAAAAGATTGAGCAGGGTAATGAAACATCACATGCACAGGGGATGAGAGATTTGTTCAGCTTGCAGTTTCCAATGGGAATCAGGATTAATGTCACAGGATGTATCATTTAGCAAAGATTTGAATTTGCTGAAGGATTATATGAGTGAAAATAGTCTAGGTTATGCTACAGTAACTATAAAGACCCAAATCACAGAGGTTCAAAACCAAAGCAATTTAATTCTAGAGTAATGCCTATTGCAGGTTGACCTGAAGCTCTATAAGACCCCATCCTAACCTGATAACAGCCTGACAAAGCCTCTACCATCTGGAAAATGAATGAAAGAGAATGCAGCAAACTGTGCACCAACTCTTCAAGGTGTTCAACATGTGTCACATATTTAACCCTGTATTAGTCCATCCTCACACTGCTATAATGGAATGCCTGAAACTTGGAAATTTATAAAGAAAAGAAGTTTAATTGGCTCATGGTTCTACAGGCTGTACAGGAAGCATGGCTTGGAAAGCCTCAGGAAACTTTCATTTATGGTGGAAGGGGAAGCAGGCATGTCTTACATCGGCAGAGCAGGAGGAAGAGAGTGAAAGGGAAGATGCTACACACTTTTAAACAACCAGATCTCGTGAGAACTCACTCAGTATGATGAGAACACCAAGGGGGAAATCTGCCCCCATGATCCAATCACCTCCCACCAGGCCTCTCCTCCTACACTGGGGATTATAATTCAATGTGAGATTTGGGTAGGGATGCAAATCCAAGTCATATAAATCCTGCTTATATTTTAGTGGCTGAAGCAAGTCACATGGAAAAGCTAGACTGAAAGTGGACTGGGAAATATAATCCTACCATATGTTTTCAAGATGGAGAATCTAATGTGTATCCTGATGAGTATAATAGAGAATGAACAATATGGTCTCATATACCCAAGTCCAGGACTAGGATGAAACAAGTAAGACACTTGCCTCAAGTGCTAATTTAGGATGGCTCTAAACATTCAATAATGAAATAATAGTGTGAGGTAATATATTTTGAAAACTCAAAATTAATGCAAAAATCTATGATGAACAGAGATATTCAAATGTTGAGTAAATCTGGGATGAGTGTACAGCTCCATGTCAAGCCACATGAGAACCTGGGGCAAGACAAGTGATGAGTAATCTGCCAGTCTTCACTTAAAATGTGATTTCAAAATTTTCATTATGAAAATTTCTGCATTTAAATTGATTACTGCACAAATTCAATTAAAATATCTTTTAACCTTGATTACTGAGATTTGTGGCACAGCCTTCCATTTTGTGCCTGAGGCAAGTGCTTCATTTATTTCACTCTGTTCCTAGTCCTGCATATTTCATACTAGCATCACCAAGGAGATGGTGGACATGTTGGTTTATAATGTGCACTCAGGATTCATATTGTCTAAGTTCTAATTTTAATTCTATTTTTATGGCATTTTGAAATGCTAAGTAAACTTCTTAACCAATGTCAGCCTCATTTCCCTTGTAAAACAAGGTTCTGTATACTCACAGTGTCATTTATGAAGAAAAACAGAAAACATGTTTATAAATGGTTAATACATTTCTCAGACTGCATAAGCAATAAATACTGTACATAGTTACTAATTTTTTAAAAAATAAAATAGGCTGGGCAACGTGGCTCATGCCTGTAATCTCAGCACTTTGAGAGGCTGAGGCAAAAATATTACTTGAAAGGAGATTGAGCCCAGCTTGGGTGACCTAGTGAGACCTCATCCCTATTTGATTTTTATAAAAAGAAAAATTATACACTATTTTAAAGATATGTAGTACATGGGAGAGAAGCTTTATGAGTTAGGACATCTGAAAATGTATGGTATGAATATAATGTTAATGAAACACTTGAACTCTTGTTGTCTTTAAGATATTTTCATTTGTAACTTCGAACAAATCTTTAGGGTTCTCACAAATATCATCAAAGAAGATATAAAAATAAAAATGCAAACTGGTTACTAAATTTGATGTGTGTATAACAAAGCAAAAAAATATGGAGATGTCATCCAGACATTTCAAAGATATACAGTGCTATTAAGAAAACAGACCTAATTGGCATTACAGAAGAATTCAAGTTGGTGAGAGAAGTACGGAAAGAATGACGATCAAAGATAGTGCCTTCATATATGGCCAAAGGCTAAATGTCAGGTAAAAGCAATATTAAAAATGAAGACATATCACATATATTTTAGATATGTAATTTAGGTTGGAAGATCTGGGGCATAAAAGGAAAGAAGGGTCATTGAGAAAATATTAGCTTTATTGTTATGGAGATAAGTGATCATATTCAATACTCAAAAAGGAAACTTATCTGCTCAGTCTTAATAATTCCATATTTCTCAAAGAAAATGCTTTGGGCAGAACAATATAGAATGGTAAGTGCTCTGTGCTTTATACCCAATATTTCTCTCATTGGTGGATTACAAATGACCAGACTAAGCATCCTTTTAAAAGCTTTTTCCAAAAGCTTCTAAACACTATTCTGCTCTATTCATAAATGTATAAGCCAAAAGACCTGTCAACTGTTACACTGAAAAGCAGTTCATCTCAGAAAGTCAATAGGCCAGGCAGAGAAGCTCAAGTAAAATGAGGTGAGGGTAAAATAATAATTTTGGTAGGCAAAATAAAATAATAAGCCTTTCAAAAACCAACAAGACATGAGTAACTGTTAATTATTTGGAGGAAATCTAACTTGTCTATTTTGCTATTAATAAAAGTTTTAATATGAAAAATAGGCCATATGAATCTCTAGAAAAGGGTACTTCAGAGTCACTTTACATCTGAGAAGAAGAAAAAGTAGATAGGATCAGGTGGGGATTACTGTGGAGACTTGAAATGACGAATAACAGAAAGTAAAGTTAAAACACAAATATTAAAACACAGTAGGTAAACAATTATTGGGTCTAAGTGACACTCAAAATAATTTTCAATTTCCAATTTTACCTGGCAATAAAGAAGATGATAATATGACCTAGACTTATAAAAATATTGTTTTCATTCATGTATTGAAATACAATTAGGAAGGAGGTATTGTGCTAGATAAATTCTAAGTATTTGTTAATTTGCTGCTCAAAATTAGGGAAGTAATGTTATGGTTTCTATTTAGCTTGTGTAAAAATTAGAGCTTCCATCATTGACAAGATTTATCTGAAGTTACACATGTAGCAAATGTAGGAGTGTTCTAACCATAAGTTTAAAGAAAATGTGCTGTTTAAGTGATACTATAAATTATTTTTCTGGAAAATATATCTATACCCATTTTCATCTATATCTTATGTATGTCTATGTATATAAACACATGTGTTATATATATCTATCATCTATCTATCTACTTATTTATCTGTAAGTATTCCTAAACTGCAAACATTCTGCAGTACAATTCACTAATTATTTAATTTGCAGACAAGGAAAGTATGTTCCAAAAAAGTGTTTGCATAGGGAGCCACTGTCAGAACAGTACAAAAGCCTGGGTTTCTTGCTTCTCAGCAGAAAGTCCATTCAACTTCATCACATAGAACATGAGTACTCTGCGTCTTAAAATACTCTACTGTACGGCTGATGTACGGCTGCAGCCAGTGAGGTTTTTTATTTTTCTGCATGGAATTGGGCATGAGGCTTTGCAAGAAGGAAATTGCTTCCAAGCTTGGATCCCAAGGAGAGGGCTTTTCTTTGTAACTGGAATTCTAAAACCTCAGTTACCAGACTGGGCAGAACAGTTGTACTATAGTAGCAGATGCAATATGCATGAGAAATTGTAGCACAGATATTGAGGGTGATAAAAATATGCAGCATTGCATAAGAAAAGGCAGGATTTTGCATAACATATTGGATAAATTAGAATTGGTATGAATGCTGGGAATCTTGAATAGTTGGATTATTAGCAGTGATTAGATTTTATAACAGAGATTTTTGTTGCTTTTGTGATTGTTGATGGTGATGGTTTTGGTTTGTTTATTTGCTAATTTTTTTAACTTTTGCATATTAGTTTTGTTTAATTTGTTGTTTTTCCTTCTTTACGTCTTTTCAATTTAAGCTTTTGTTCTTTTCAAACATTCTCTATCAAAATCTTGCTCCAGATAAAACTTTTACTTGTGATGAATCCTGTAAATGTTTTTGGGTTTTTGTTTTGTTCCATTTTGTTTTTAAAAGAAAAATCAGCTTAATGAAACTCTGTTTTAAACAAGTTACACCCACCGTAAACTTTAAAATCAGTCTTCATGGACTAATAAAAATCTTGACACTTCGCTGAAACCTTTTACAAAAGAGTGTCTTATGAATTGGAATCTCTGTGTCACGGTCCACTGTCTCCTAGTTATGTGTTTGTACTCACCACTGAGCTTTGAGACCCTCAAAATTAGGCACCATGCTATTAGTCATAAATACTTTAAATATTTGCTGACTTCTAATGACATATATAATTCATTATCTAAATGATTGATTAGAGCTGTTTTGAATAACTTCAAGGACATGGATACCTTCACTTTCATTTTAAAATATTAATGAGGAAGACCTGGGTAGAGAAGCGTGTGGTCCCTTTAAATGATATGGAAGGGGGTAAGGGTGTGGTCCCTGACTAGGGCTCCACCCTGCAGACTTAGGTGAGTACAGGCAGTCCTGCCTTCCTGCTCAAATGTTGCATTTCCCAAGACCACCCTGGCCTCCCACGCCCCCATTCTGTGCCTATAAAAACCCCCGAGGCCCTAGCCGGCAGACACACAGGCGGCTGGATGTCAAGAGGAGCACAACAGAGGAGGAACACAGAGGTGGCTAGACACAGAGAGTAACACACTGACGGCTGGACATACGGAGTAAAACACCGACAGGCACGGGCACCCTGGCAGGCCACCGACCATTAGAAATAGAATGACATGGAGTTTAGCTGGGGCAGTCAGAGGAGAGCCCAGGCTGCTGAACGGCTCGACTCTAGGGGAAACCCTTCCCACTCCACCCCTTCTGACTTTCCGAGAGCTGCTTCCACCCAATAAAACCTTGCAATCATTCTCCAAGCCCAGGTGTGATCAGATTCTTTCGGTACATCAAGGTAAGAACCTGGGATACAGAAAGCCTCTGTCCCTGAGACAAAGTAGAAGGTCTAAGGGAGCTGCTTAACACAAGCCACCTATAGACGGCAAAACTAAAAGAGCAAAACTAGAAGAGCACCCTGTGACACACTCCCACTGGGGCTTCAGGAGCTGCAAACATTCACCCCTACACACTGCTGTGCAGTCGGAGCCCCATAGCCTGCCCGTCTGTATGCTCCCCTAGAGGTTTGAGCAGCGGGGCACTGAAGAAGCAACCCCATTACACGGCCTGCGAGGGGGACAAGGTAACTTCCCATTTCAATATGATACATATATGCAGAAAAACACAGTACCAACAATTATAGCTAGATATTTGATGATTATGTATGCTCTTTTTATTTTAAGCTAGACATGAGGGATTATTTTGTGAAGCCTACCCTGAATTTATAATTACGCTTACCTACATGTTTTACCATGTAGAAGGTTCAACTGAACTGCTTGATTTGGGAGGGAAAGGAGAGAGAGTAAATGCTACGCATTTTAGAATATGTGATTCCTGACGGAGGAACTGTTTTATATGAGATATGGGCAGGCCGGGCGCGGTGGCTCACGCCAGTAATCCCAGAACTTTGGGAGGCCGAGGTGGGCGGATCACGAGGTCAGGAGATCCAGACCATCCTGGCTAACACGGTGAAACCCCGTCTCTACTAAAAATACGAAAAAAATTAGCCGGGCGTGGTGGCGGGCACCTGTAGTCCCAGCTACTCGGGAAGCTGAGACAGGAGAATGGCGTGAACCTGGGAGGCGAAGCTTGCAGTGAGCCGAGATCGTGCCATTGCACTCCAGCCTGAGCGACAGAGCAAGACTCTGTCTAAAAAAAAAAAAAAAAAAAAAAAAAAGAGATGTGGGCAAAGCACCACTGTTATTATCCAGTAGAGATTTTAATACTATGGGCCTGGGTTTGGGTTTGGTGTTTTGAGGGGTTCAATATCAAGCAAAATGTGGGTGTTTATCAACAGCTGCTGCAAAACCAACTGAATGGCAATGCCATCGATCTCCTTTGCTTAATATGTGGAATCTAGTTATATTTAATTTTCCCAACCTTGGCCATCTGCTTACCATTGAAAAGTTAATTAAAATAAAATTAAAAAGTAATATATTTGACCATATTCAGGGAAAAAATGAAATGAAATGATTCTGAAATAATCAAAATCTAAAAATATAAAATTTAGATAGAATAAAATTTTTGGAAATCAACTCATTCATATAATAAAAGCAAGCTACATATAATAAATAGAAACACTAACAAAGTAAATTTCGTTAAGGAAGATGATTTCCTAAAGAACAAAGAGGAATGTTAGCTATGATCACTATAACTCTACAGCAGAAGAGAAGATAGGCTCTTAAGTAATCTTCAAGCCTTTAAGACTCTGGACGTCAAATTTTCAACTGTTCTGAAAGTGTGCTTTAATGTACTGGATATGTTTCCTCATCAATAAAATGGTGGTAAGCTCTACAGTTTAGTACCAGGTATTAGTTACATAAAATAGTTGCCTAGAAAAATTTCTTGAAATTTTGACTAGTAAAAAGTTATAAATAAAGAACTAAATGAACATTAATTTTTCTCCTCTTCTCCAGTTATACTTTGTAGACAGTGAAATAAAAATCAGTTTTGTTAATATTATTTTAAAAAACTATTTACATGTTAATGTTGTCATAATAATTACTGTTGTTGTTAACTTGCTCTGACAGGGAGTTGAAGCTATTAAGAGAGTGACGAATAATTCGCAATGAATCAAAAACACGAATGTTGAATATTTTGTGAACAATTTTTCATTTGAAAAGCTTGCATAATTTGCCCTTTCATCACAATTAATAATAGGAATACTCCCTAAGAAATTGTTATTACAGTTGTACATAATTATTTTCTTTGAGCTTAAATTCCATTTAATCTCTAAGGCAGCTGACATTTTGATTACTTATTTTGTAGCTGTTTTCTTTGCAATGAACACTGATTATACTATGGGAAGCAGCATATAACTGGAGCTATTAGCTCTGCTCTTTGCATATAGTAGAAACTTAATAAATTTTTCTTAATAAATAAATAAAATAATATTATTGTTGGCTCACAACAATTAGAATTATAATCGACCATAAATTTTCCAGCTATTTCTTCCATATTATAAAACGATTTTAAATTTTATAACTTTTAAAATTTTGAAATATAATTATCAGGGAAACAAAAAGATAGAACTTCAATGATTGTAAACAAAACTTTGCTCACAGATTTAAAATTGAATTGAATCGTCACTTTTTTTTATTTTATTTTTGTTTTTATTTATTTATTTTGAGATGGAGTCTCGCTGTGTCGCCCAGGCTGGAGTGCAGTGGCGCCATCTCTGCTCACTGCAAGCTCCGCCTCCGGGGTTCCCGCCATTAGCCTGCCTCAGCCTCCAGAGTAGCTGGGACTACAGGCGCCCGCCACCACGCCCGGCTAATTTTTTGTATTTTTGGTAGAGACGGGGTTTCACCGTGTTAGCCAGGATGGTCTCAATTTCCTGACCTCGTGATACACCCTCCTCGGCCTCCCAAAGTCCTGGGATTCCAGGCGTGAGCCACTGCGCCTGGCCGTAAATTTTTTTATTTTAAGAACGAAATGAAGTTAGACTCTGTTTCTTACATTTGGAGATGAAGAATTGTCCTGTAAACATGTAGGCGCAAAGGATAAATATATATTGAAAATGTGATAGAAGGCATTGGAGTGCTACCCAGAAAATTATGATGTATGACAATAAAATTGAGAAGAGAAGGCAGATTCAAAGAGGTGAGTCTGGTATTGCTACAATACTCAAAATACTTTTGGAGAACCAGAGAAGCTGAGCAGAGCTAAACAAAGAATTTGGAGGCTGAAATTAGAGTCTTTATGAACCTAAAAGTCTCATGAACACTGTAGGTCATTTTGAGGGATCTGAATACGTCACGACCTAAAAACGATTTAACCAGAAGTAGGTCAGGATTTGAAAGAGCTAAACTTTGTTTGAATTATCTAAATTCGGGATTAGTTTAAGATGTTAATTTAATATTCTGTGAAGGAGTATAACAAAATACAACATTCCATGTTAACTCTGACATTTTTTTCTCAGATATGATGATTCTAGAACCTAGCTTCCCTAAAGTCATGTGGTATATTTTTAGAGATGATAGTATTTATTATTTCATTAATTGATTAATAAATCATTCTGATGTTAATAATTTGCTCTTGGGAGATAATTCTCCAATAATTATCTATTTTTTCATAATTCATAGTTTTTGTCATATATAATTCTAATTTTTTCCAAACAACTTTCATAATATTAACTCATCTGTATTTTATAAAATTAATTACTAGTTATTCCAACAACATTTTCATTGTCTTTCTTTTTAATATTACTAAATGTATTCACTTTTTCATTTTTAATGTTAATTTGTTAAATGGAAGTTACATATAGTGAAAATAAATATGAAGCTATTTTAATATTCCGTACCTTAATCTAAAATAGTGCATTCATTTATATGCTTGGGTTTAAAGAAATCATGATGTCATTTGTTTTTTAATTTTCCCTTTTTGTTTTACTTTTTTTTCCCATTTACTCCTTTCCTGTCATTTTTAGCAGATTCAGAAAATTTATTTACTATCTGTTTTATTTTCTCCACTGACTATTAACATTTAGATGTATGAATTGCTATTTTAGTAATAATTCTGGTGGTTATAAAATGAGCCATTACATTATCATACATTAGGTTTATATTGTGCCACTTCATATAAAATGTTATAATTTAGAACAATAGAATTGTCTTAACTTCCCATACCTTCTAGTATTGCTGTCATATTTTACTTAAACATAGTTACAAACCACATAACACAGATTATTATTTTTGCTTCAAAAGTTATCTTTGAAGAAATTAGTGGAAAAACAACCAATAAAAAACAGTCTTTTACAGTTATCCACATGTTTGCTATTTCTGATGCTGCTTATTCCTCCTGTAGACTCAAGTTTCCATCTGCTATCTTTTCATTTCAACCTGAAGAACATCCTGTATTATTTATTATGGTGTAGGTCTGCTGGCAACAACTTAGCTCAGATTTTCTTTATCTCAAAGAACCTTTATATTAGCCTCATTTTTAAAGAAATAATTGGAGAATATCAAATTCCAATTTGATATTTCTCAGAATTTTAAATATGTTGCTCCATTGTTTCCAATGAGAAGCAGCTCATTCATTTCCTTGTTCTATGGTATGTAATGTACTCCCCTGCTCCTGGTTACTTTTAATATATTTCCTCAATTTCATTATATTTCCTTTCTAACTGCTAATGAACTCTTTGGGTGTCAGTTCCCCAGATATGAATGTGGATGTATTTGTATGTGTGGTTGGATTTATATGCCTGAGATTCCTAAGCTTAGACATATGATTGTTTACTTTATGTCTTTATTCTTAATTAGAATTAATAAAGACATTAATTACTTAATGTCTTTATTATTAATTAGAAAATTTTGAACATCATGTCTTCAAATTTTTTTTTGTTATTTCCACTCACTCATTATGTAATTCAAATTAGATATATGTAAGGCTTCTTGACGGGTTACACGTATTAAGACTATCAGGAGTTTTATTTTTAATCTTATTTCATCACTAGTTTGCTAGTTTGCATTATTTCTAAAATTCTTTCTACCACTTCGTTGATCCTTTCTTTTGCAGTTTTATGTCTGCTGTTATATCCATTAAGTTCATTTTTAAGTTTCAATCAGTGTACTTATTTGTCATAGAATTTCCATTTGCTTCTCTGTTTTAATTTGAATTTCTCTTCCAAGAGTCTCCATTTCTTTATAGATTGTGACTCACTTTTCGTTGAAATTCTTCAATATATTTTTTAAAGATATCTCAAAATCTCGATCTAATAAATCCAACATTTAAGGTATCTTGTAACCTGTTTCTAATTACTGTTTTTCTTGCTTATAGAGCACACATATCTTTGTTTCTTCATAAATCTAGTATTGTCATATTTATTTTAATCTGGGTGTTGTGGATGATATGGCGAAAATGTCAGTATTATTTTTCTATTCACTGTTAACATTTTCTCTTTTTTAAGAGTCATAAATTTTTTCTCACAGGCAATTAAATTGTCGATAGATTCTATTACTTTTGTCATGCTTGGCCTTTTTCTTTGTTAAGAAGAGCCAATTTTGGCTTTATTTTTAGTTTTAGAGAATGTTCTATTTAGCATGCATTTGTTACTCCTAACACATGATCTCTTTGGGGTCTTATTTAAATGCCCAGTGTTTAGTGATGTGTTTCCTATTTTGCTGAGCCAGAACTCTGTTATTTTTTGTCCCTGTTGATCTCTGGTATCTCTGTTCACCTCAGTTCTGCAGCAACTGCTTTCTTGAGAACATCAGGAGTTTCATTTTATGCATACGCATGTAGCCTTTTGCCATGGATATGTTGTGAAACTCCTCACAGACTTAGAAAACCTCTCCTGAATGGTATTCAGTCCTGCAGATTTTCACTACTTTAAGCAAAATGAAATTCATGTGTCTGCATCCTGAGTTCAGTGAAACTTACACACTTTGGTTGCATGTCTTTCTCCCACAGTCTAAAAAGTATTCTTCTACCATGGTCACAAAGTCAGGCAAACCTAAGATTTAATTTGTGTGTTTATCTTGATATAATGATCATTGTTTTGTACTGCCTGTTGTCCAGTGCGAGATAATGTTTTATATTGGTCTATGATAAGATTATAAGTCTGATACCAATGATTCTATCATAGCTAGAAGTGCTATGTTTATAATGTGATATTATGTATTAATTAAAAAAACTACTGATACACTCAAAAATACTAACTTCCAAAATCATGAGATTGAACAAAATAAACAACACAAAAACATTTAGACATTATGAATCCATTTATATAAGATCAAGAATAAGTCAAATCTATAATTAACAAAAATTATAACAATTTCTGTATCACTGATTATCTATGTGAAGTGCAACTTTATTGGAAGAGGCTATGAGGAAACATTTTGGGAATCTGGATTTTTGTGTTAGGATTATAGGCATATGCATTTGACAATGTCATTGAATTTTATGCTTAAGTTTTATGCATTTTGTAACAAATTATTTATATTAACCTAATTGAAATATAACTGGAAAAAATGAATATAAAGTTTGAAAATGAGGACAAAATATATACTAGAAAGACCTATAGGAGATCCGCATAATGGACTTCAAAGTCATCAGTTTGATTCATGTGTTAAAAAAAGAAGAATTTCAGTCTCTGTTCTTAAGGCCTTCAACTGATTGGAAAAAGCTCATTCACATTATGAAGAGTAATCAGCATTATTTGAAGTCATCTGATTATAAACGTTAATCACATCTACAAAATACCTTCACAGCAACATCTAGGCTAAGTGTTTAACAAACTGGGCATCATTGCCTAGCTAAGTTGACAAATAAAGTTAAACAACACACACACACACGCACACACTCGCACACACATAGAATATACTATAAAATGCCATATTGATTTGGGAGAAGAGTAATGAAATAATGGTGTTCTAAATCTCTTATGTTGTCCAAAAATAGTAATGTTCAGTGGACCTTAGGCTTTCATCCATCAGGAATATATATTGTTGTATTAGTTTGCTAGAGCTGTTGTAACAAAATACCACAGACTGCATGGCTTAAATAACAGAAATTTATTTTCTTACCATTCTGGAGACCACAAGTCCAACCTGCATTGGTGGGTTTGATTTCTTCTGACCTGATCCTTGGCTTCCAGATGGCCTTTCCTCTATGCCCATAAATTGCTGATATTTCTCTTTATAGGACGTGATCTCCTCTTCTTTTAAGGATACTAGTCAGAATAGATTAAGGCCCAACTTGAAGGTCTCATTTTAAAGTAATGACTTTTATAAAGGCCCTATCTCCAAATACAGTCACATTCTGAGAAACTGGGTATTAGCGCTTCATTAGGGGGCTATTTAGGGGAAACAAAATTCAGTTTATAACAGCTTTATTCTTTGTTGTTATTATTTTTTGTTGAGACAAAGCCTTGCTCTTGTTACCCCTGCTGAAGTGCAATGACACAATCTCGGCTCACTGCAACCTCCGCTTCTCAGGTTCAATCCTGACTCAGCCTCCTGAGTAGCTGAGCTCACAGGCATGCGCCACCACACCTGGCTAATTTTTGTATTTTTAGTAGAGACGTGGTTTCACCATGTTGGCCAGGCTGGTCTCGAACTACTGACCTCAACAGATCTGCCCACCTCGGCCACCCAAACTGCTGGGATTACAGGCATAAGCCACCGCACATGGCCAACAGCTCTTATGTGTAAGAACTAAAAAAGAAAAAAATGTTAAACATTTACAAATAACATATAAATACTCAGGGAAATAGAATAATCTGTTCAATGTTGGAAAATTTGGGTATGTTTGATTTACATTTAAATAAAAATAATATGTTCCTGCCACCTCAGAAATACAAAGACCTTTGCTTCTGAATGCATTAACTGAAAAGATTATATTTACATTATTATAGTCTCACTCCTCAATTGATTTATTTTTAATTGTATACGAGATCTTTTTGGGGGGGTTTATTTTCTTTTTCCTGGAAAATATTCTTTAGAAATTAGTTCACTGATAATTTACTGAATGCAAATTTCCTCAGATGTAGTGGGACTAAAATTTCCTGCTGCTTTTTCACTAGCATTGTATTTTCTTTCTGAATGAGTTGACTTCATGACGGTTCTTTCTCTTCCTTTTCTTGGAGTTAAATCATACATAGCACACATTTTCTTTTATTTTTCTTTTCTTTTATTTTTTGAGACGGAGTCTCGCTCTGTTGCCCAGGCTGGAGTGCAGTGGAGTGATCTTGGCTCACTGCAAGCTCTGCCTCCTGGGTTCACACCATTCTTCTGCCTCAGCCTCCCAAGATACCTGCCAAGATACAGGCATGAACCCAAATGTATCTGAGACAGGTCTCAATCAATTTAGAAAGTTTATTTTGCCAAGGTTAAGGATGCATCTGTGACACAGCCTCAGGAGGTCCTGAAGATATGTGCCCAAGGAGGTTGGGGTACAGTTTGCTTTTATACAATTTAGGGAGACAAAAATACATCAAACAATACATGTAAGAGTTATATTGATTTGATCTGGAAGTGCAGGACATCTTGAAGCAGGGATCAGAGGGCCTTCCAGGTCATAGGTAGAATTAAAAATTTTCTGATTGGCAATTGATTGAAAGAGTTATTATCAGTAGTAAGGAGTGTCTAGATTATAATAAGAAGTTGTGGAGACCAAGGTTTTATTATGTAGCAGAAGCTTCCAAGTAGCAGGATTCAGAGAAAATAGATCTTAATACTATGCATTAAGATTAATGTTTATAATCAGACTTAAAGCTAGTGTTGATGTTAATGCTGGAAGGTAAAAGGAAGCATGTCCAACCCCTTCTTCTATCATAGCCTGGACTGGGTTTTCAGCTTCACTCTGGAATGCCCTTGGCTGAGAGGAGGGGTTCATTTAGATAAATGGGAGGCCTCAGAATTTTGTTTTTGGTTTACATTCTTTATATAAATTTCTTGTGGATGTAAATCTGATTTTTTTTTTTACTCTGGTTGTCGATGGTCTTTCAATTGTGTAGTGTGATTTTGCATTGTCAACTCATCTTTACATGTGACCTTATTTTAGGGAAAACCCTGAGGTTTCAGTTAAAATTTACTTTTGCTAAGATCCTTCTGTGTATTTTTTATCTTAGACTATGATAAGTCAGATATACTTGTATATTTTAAATATGTTTTTTACTTCTGTTTGTTAATTTTCCCATCAAAATTGATCTGGCTTCAATTGCAACAAGGTCCTGCCATCTTGGAGGTATATATGGGAACTATATATTAGCTATTTATGCATCATCCTTTAAGTATCTTCTGTGTGGAAACACTGCAATAGTCAAATCTAAATCCTTACTTCAGTTAACTTTAACACATGCAGAAAATAATAAATTTAGAAAATAAATATATTTTAAATATTGTGACATATGTTATATGCTGTTATAAATATAACCATGCAGCATACTGTGAGAAATAACGATGGAGCAAGCAAAGTGGAAGTTCTGTCTTAAAGAGTGACATTAATGAATATCTTTAAGAATGAAGAGAGCCATCAAATTTTAAAAAGTGTGTAAGAATTCAGGATTTGAAGAAGCACTGGGGGAACACACATCAGCAGACACAAAATTTTTAAGTCCTGAAATGGAGTATATCTTCATGCTTTCAGTGATGGAACTGACAGAGTCTAGTGTGGCTGGAAAACATGTAATCAGTTTTTGATTAATTTTTTAGATAACTACTAGTCAAAAAAGCCTTCTATTACTCCTGACATTTTAAAAATCATACACACAAAATTTTATGTTAAAGCTCATTGTGAAGAAAACTGCTTGGAAAAAAATGTAAACAATGCCAAAATACTATTTGGTTAAAATATAATACTTTATAAATAAAATTAATTATAAAACAGCAATAGAAGGCAGAGTCTGTATTATTTTAGTTTTTATCTTTAATAAATAACCTGATAATTAAAACTTAAGTTCTAGAAACTCTCTTAATAAAATCAGAATCAAAATGAGATAGTAAATTTCATTTCATATAATTATTTTACACTCTTAGAAATGTCAATGATTGTAGTAGCCCATAAAATATTTTCTAAAATTTAAATATTTAAATTTATCAATATTACAGTTGTTACTTTTGTCGACTTAGTAAATTTAAGGGTCAACAAACATAAAATAAAAAAATCAGCATATTAGCAAATATGTAGATACCTACAAATTATCAATGATTTTCCAATAAAGTATAACTATTAGATAATTTAGTAAGAAATTAAAGTTATAGAAATAAATATAATTTTAAAAATTTTATTGTGTTTATTAAAACATTTATTTAAATATCTAGAAAAAAGGAAAGGCAGTCGTGCTCTAAAATTCATGATAATATTTTAAAGATGGGAATTTTATCTAATTTATTTACAGCTTTAATGCAGTTTTAATTAAAATCTCTTTACGTTTTTACAAATCTTCTTAAAAATTATTTAGAATACATACCATACAGATAATGGAATATTATTCCATCTCAAAAAAAAAGGAAATCCTAACATTTGTAACAACATGAATGAACTTGGAAGACAGTATGTTAAATAAAATAAAGCAGACACAGAAAGACAAATACTGCATAAACTTACTTATATTTGAACTCTAAAGGAGTCAAACTCATAGAAACAGTAGAATGATGATTACCAGGTGTCGCAGATGGGAAAAGGGTAGAACTTTATCAACAGGTGAAAACTGGCAACTCAGATGAACAAGTTCTGGAAGCCTAATGTACAACATAGTGACTATAAGTTAATAACGTATTGTATACTTGAAATTTTCTAAGAAAGTAGATCTTAAGTATTCTCATCATATAAGCACAGAAACAGATAACAATGTGAGAATATGAGTATATTAATATATTATCTTGATTGTGATAATTGTTTTACAATGGACAGATGTATCAAAACATCTCATTGTACACTTTGAATATATACAGTTTCTATTTGTCAGTTATACCCCAATAAAGCTGAAAAAATTAAAATTAAAAAAACCTGATTGGTCAGAAATTTGGTTTTCCATGAAAGATGTTGCTAAATATGGCAACTCTGACAAGAAAAATAATAATAATAAAAACGTTAAAAAATGACATATATACATCCATTCATTTATTCATTCAGTCTTTCATTAAATAACATGTAGTGACTGCCTATCCTGTGCTATGCATTAAGCATATGGTGAAGAGAAAATCAAATATTGTCCTTGCTGCTGTGGAAATTTTATGTACATCATGCATACATACACGTGCATTAGTGTATACTTTACTTTTTCTTTTCTTTTCTTTTCTTTTTTTTTTTTTTTTTTTGAGACACAGTCTCTCTATTACCAAGGCTGGATTGCAATGGCATGATCTGTAGTCACTGCAGCCTCTGGCTCCTGGGTTCACGCAATTCTCCTGCCTCAGCCAGCTGAGTAGCTGGGATTACAGGCACATGCCACCACACTCTAATTTTTTATTTTTAGTAGAGACAAGGTTTTGCCATATCGGCCAGGCTGGTCTCAAACTTCTAACCTCAAGTGATGCACCCACCTCGGCCATCCAAAGTGCTGGGATTACAGGCATAAGTCACTGCACCTGGCTGATAATTTAAATTTTGTTTACTTATATTTTAGTATTCGTATTATTTTAACATACTACATTGTTTTTTTAAAAAAAGACATGAAAAATCTTACATAAAGTCATCCAGTACAATGGAAATAAAAACTAGATATTCAAAGTGAAGGAAAGATAATTAAATAAAAGCAACAAAAATCTATTTTCTATGCCACTAAACTATAAGCCATATGTTTCATTAGTGTGATAGAATATCCCTCATGTTTTTTCCTGACTTCAACAATAGACATTTAAAGTCTATAGTCATACCACAAAAGATTCATCTAATTACATTAGGGACAAATTATTGCCTCTCATTTTCTTTACCTCTAGCTATAAGATGGATAAATATAGACGTACAAATACAGGTATTCACATCTACAGCTTTCTGTCTAACAATATATACTTAAAAGTGTAAAAGACTTAAAAGGAATAGACAAAGGAAATCATCGTAAGTAATGTAATTAGAAAGAAAATAATGTAACAAAATTGTTTTTAAAAAGATTTACTTCATAGTTATCTTCATATATATATATATATATATACACACTCTTAAAATGTCCCTTCAGGATTTTCAAGTTGTCTTCATCTTTATATATATATATATATACACACATACACTATATATATATATATTTACACACACACTTTATATATATATAAATATACACCTTAAAATGTCCCTTCAGGATTTTCAAATTTTAGATATACTGTGATAAGCAATATATTTTGTATTAAATATTTGTACTCCAGAATGAAAATTGTTATAAAGCATTAGTTTAGTTCAAAATGGAGAAAACCAGTAGACAGTTGGGTGTTTCCAGTCCTACAAGCATAGTTAAATCAGTTAATCTCTTTCAATCTAACATGCTAACATTTCATACTTATGCCACAGAGTCTTCACAGTTTAACAGAATCTTGGCAGTAACACACATGAAACTTCCTGAAAAGGGTGGTGTTATATGTAGCCCAGAGTACTGTCATATATAACATTGCAAACTCTTCATGAGTTTTCTGTTCATTATCGCTGTCAGGATAGAGGTGTTCCAGATTTTATTGATTAAATAACTATCTTTCATAGATGCATTAGTTTCCATTTTTCCGGATTGAATTTCCTTTTAATGCATTTTTACACTTTGAATTTTTACTATTTTTAGATGTATTATAGCCATTCTGTTTGTCTACCTGACAGTTTGATATGGTCAAAAAATGACTTTGAATGTGCTGTTTTTCTTACCCCCCTCCGGCGTTATTATCAGGGCTCCTTACTTCTGCATAGCACAGATGACCTGCACTAGAGCATGCTCATTGGCAGCAAGCACAGGGTCATTTGCAAACAGGGTTTCTTAATTACACATAGTATACAGCCACAGGATGTCAGTCTCATGTATTGAAAGTTATAGAAATGTCAATTATATAATATTTGGGAATGGGAAGATTTGGTCTGTTTCTTATATATTTCATTTAGGCAATGGTAGGTTAAGCCTAACTCTTGCCTATAGCCTGAATATAGATAACTAGTCTTATTCTCTTTGCTAATTATGTTATCTATGATTTATAAAGAAATCTATGTGACTCTTGAATATATTACTTTCAGAAGAGTAGGTTTATTTCTTTCTAAATTATTGAGTGAACACCAACTAGGATTAGAAAATTTCTGCTGTACATATTCAAAGCCAAAGATTGTCAAAAGCAAGAGCGATTCATTTTATCAAGTACCTGGAAGATTGTTGGCATTTTATTTAATAGCACCTACTAAATATATAATATTGATCTATATAATTCATGGCATGATCTATATAATTCATGGCATTTTTACACACTGCAATTATGTTACAACAATTTAATTTAATTTTCAGGTGTGTATTACATATAAACAATAATTCTGGCCTTTGCAGTTTGAAAACAGATTGCAATACTAGTAGAAGAGGGAAAGTCACGATTTGTGGGTGTTGATTGTTAAGTAAATCCCTACTATATGCCTAATGGGATGGGAAAAGAAGGTCAATATACCAAATAATTATAATGGTAAGAATATGATAATTATTATGGTAGCAGTATAAAATAGGATAGAGAGATTGAATTGTAGAGGAAGTGTTAATGAATTCTGACTGGGATTATCAAGGGAGTCTTTTTGCAAAAAAAAATTGACCTTTATTCTGGGCCATGAAGTATAGAAATTATGTGTGTAAAAAAGCATGATGAAATGGTCATGGCCCTTGAGCCCTCAAGGCTTTCGGACTTGATGTAAATATTCATGAAAATCTGTCCATACCTTGAAGCCCCTCTACTCTCAATAGCAGCTTCTGTGACTTCGGGACAATAGTAATTTTCTAAATCAAATACATATTTTCAGAATGAGAACTGATTTTATACATGCCAACTTTGAAGCTCGTAGAAACTACCTTGAGAAAGATCCACCATCGCAAGACTGATGTGTCAGCAGCTATAGCTTTGGGGAACTGACACATCTCAAGAAACTGTGTGGCTCAAACCTGGCAGCTAAATACTGCAGGTGAGAAGCTTATATCTCTAAAATCTGATTACCAAAGATGAAACAGATGATCCTCTTTCCCAAAATACTGCACCCCAAATATTTTATACCTGCCACAGTATTATTGGTAGACAAGATTTGAACAGGCAATAGTAGGCACAGACAAAATGTTGCTTCTATCAGAATCAACACATTGAGGGAACTTAACTGTGTTGTGTACATGCAGAAAATTCCACAGAGAGCAAGTTATCTTTGAAACCAGAATACCCAATGATGAAACAAGTGGAACAAAGCCCTTAAAACAATCAAACCCAACTGTTCTTTCTTGCTTGCTTGCTTGCTTGCTTTCTTTTTCTTTTTCTTTTTTTTTTTTTTTAGATGGAGTCTCACCCTGTGGCCCAGGCTGGAGTACAGTGGTGCAATCTTCGTTCCTTGCAGCCTCTGCCTCCAGGGTTCAAGTGATTCTCCTGCCTCAGCGTCCCAAGTAGCTGGGATTACAGCGTGCGCCACCATGCCCAGTTCGTTTTTGTAGTTTTAGTAGAGACGGGGTTTCACTATATTGGCCAGGCTGGTCTCGAACTCCTGACCTCAAGTGATCCACCTGCCTCGGCCTCCCAAAGTGCTGGTATTTCAGGCCAGAACCACTGCACCTGGCCAAACCCAACTGCTTTATCTCTCCAGCCTTACTTATAATTTGAAAAAATAAAACAAGCATAGGCAGTCATACACACAAAATAGTTCCAATCTGAATTAAGCACATCTAGAGGCAGTATTGATCTGTGTATAATTCCAAAACTTCATGATGGATAGTCCAGCTATCTAGTTGTACATTACAATATATTTGTCTGCACTGTAAGGCATCCTTATCAATATATTATGAACATTAAAAATCTTAAAGAGGTCCCCGTTGTCTTTTGGCGGCTTTATATTCCATATGATAGCAAATACTACATCATGTTATGTAAGGGGCTTGAGTATACAGGAATTTAGATATCCAGCAGTCATCCTGGAACCAATTCTCCACAAATACCAAGGCATGACTATAGTAGGCACCCAAATAATTTTAAATTTAACTATTATCCGTTGACACAATTGATGATTAATGGGAGCAAAAGACAGTTAGGGAGCCTACCTTGACCTCTGGTTGTATAGGCTGTGGAATATAAGGCCACCAAAAGACATGTGATATTTTATATACTTATACAATATGTAATGATTAAATCAGGGTATTTAGAATACCCATCACCTCAAACATTTATCATTTCTTTGTGTTGGGGCTATTTCAAATCTTCTAGCTATTCCGAAATACACAATAAATTGTTGTTCACTATTCACTCTACTGTGCTATCAAACACTAGAACTTATTCCTTCTGTATAACTGTATGTGTTCCCCTTAGCCAACCTCTCTTCAACTGACTCCTTTCCTCCTCCACACTCACTCTTTTCAGCCTCTGATAAGTATTATTCTATTATCTACCTCCATAAAATTAATTTTTTTAGCACTCACATATGAGTGAGAACATGTAATATTTGTCTTTCTGTGCCTGGTTTATTTCACTTAACATGACCTCCAGTTCCACCTATGTTGCCGCAAATGAGAGGTTTTCATTTTTTTATGGTTGAACAATATTTCTTTGAACATATATACCACATTTTCCTTATCTGTTCTTCTCCTGATGGACATTTAGGTTGATTCTCTATCTTGGCTATTGTGAATAGTGCTGGTGCAAAATAAACATAAGGGTGCGGGTATCCCTTTGATATACTAATTTTGTTTTCTTTGGATAAATACCAGTAGTTGGATTGCTGGATTGTATGATAGTTCTATTTTAAGTATAAATTAATCTAAAAATTCAACAACTTTTTTTCAGTTTTTCTCTTATTAAAAACACCACTCAGAGTTAGGCATTTGCACTCATACTTCCAGCTACTCAAGAGGCTGAGGATTGCTTGAGCTCAAGAGTTCATATCTAGCCTGGGCAATATAGTGAGATTCCATCTCTTTAAAAAAAACAAACAACAATAACAAAACACACACACACACTCACCTACCATCCTTATATTTACTTACAATTTACATCTTTACCAAGAAAATTTTCTTTAATAATAAATCCATCTTTAATTCCAAATATGTGTGTATGCAAATGATATACTAGCCATATTATCATGCCTAAGGAGGATTTGAAACACTTACTAAAACTTTTAAGATGCCATTCTGATGTTCTAAGTACAAGAAGTAAGCTAAGTAAGCTGAAAAGTACTATACCTGGAGAAAGTGTATCTTATTAGGTATCACAGTCTGGTACTTTTTCCTATATACCAGACACAAATGTGCTAGAACCTGAAAGATGGCTACCTTTGACCCTTTGAAGTAAGCAAGATGCTAATATGCTTTTTCAAGTGGATCTACTCAATCTTCCCTTGCTCTTTCATATGCCCTTCTACTTTTAAATCAACAAGCCAATTTTAGCACCCAGTATGTGTAAGCATCTACACCTAGTAGTGATCTTCTTCAGACGGTATTTTCTACTAAATAGATGATCATTTTTCTCTACTGAGCTAAAGTAACAAGTAGTTGAATTGCTTTGAATAATATAGATAGAAAAAAAGAGCAAGAGCTACATTGAAAAAAATATTGAAATTTACTAAATGCACAATTATTTTATTGAGTGATTTTTATTTTTTGTTGAAATTGGAATTGGACCTGAATTTAAGTTCAGGTCAAAAACTTTATAGAGATATATGAAATCAGCAGCTCAGATGACTCAAGGGACAATAAAAATATAAGCTGACATACTGGAAGGGTTTATATAAAGTTGAGGTCAACCCCCCTGATATGGTTGGACCCAAAATCTCATCATGAATTGTAAACCCCATAATCCCCAGGTGTCAAGGGTGGGACCAGGTGGAGGTAATCAGATCATGGGGCTCATTTCCCCTATGCTGTTTTCCTGATAATGAGTGAGTCCCGTGAGATCTGATGTTTTTATAAGCATCTGGCATTTCCCCTGCTTGCACTCATTCTCTCTCTTGCCACCTTGTGAAGATGTGCCTTTCACTGTGATTGTAAGCTTCCTAAGGCCTTACCAGCTATGCAGAACTGTGAGTCAATTAAACCTCTTTTCTTATAAATTACCCAGTCTTGGGTATTTCTTCATAGCAGCATAAGAATGGACCAATACACCCTCCCAGTATCTTTTAGAACTCTTAAGGTCACTGAAGTTTAAGTAGATATTAAGAGGCAGGAAAACGTCCACTAAATTTTGGAGTGCAATGGACTGTAACAATGATAATGCGCCTGACTCATTTCTGAACCTGAGAAGCTTATCATTCATAGTTCAATTGCATGCAATCATTTTGTCAAAAAGATGTACTCCAGAGTACTTTATCAGCTTGAACCTGTAAGTGGTGAAGAAATTAAATCCAAGCCAAATGGTATTTGGATTCTGTGGATGAATAGTGCCTGGTCTAGTAGAGCCCATATAAGAGGCCTAAAGAAATTCAAAAATCACCAAGAGGTACCTTCTCTTTTCTGAAAATAACACCTGGCTTTGTACTCCTTCTCTACTTCTACTACTTTTTAGTTTAAATTTTCCACATATCTCTCTCTTAATCCCACGTTGAACAATGATTTTTTTTTTCTAGATGGGGGATCATTTGAATGATACTTTTTCTTATTGTATTATTGCTTGATTCTATTTAGCTCTGATGCATTGTCCTATAGCCACAAGGACAATTGACATCTGGGTATGACATGGAGTTATGATCATTAAATTCCTTTCTCTCTCTTGCTCAGTGTGCGGAGTCCTTCTTGTCTAGAAAGCAGGACAGTCACACTACCTAAATATTGTTTTTTGCTAAAATTTGAAAATAAAAAATGTACTCTCAGAAATGGGTGAATGCTTTAAAATTATCTGTGCATTTTAAACATATTTCGTACTATTCACTATGAACAGGGTGTACCATGTCATTATTTTAAAATGGAGAATTATTTTGGACATATTGGCCATCATCTGTCAATCTGTTGGTTACAAATTAATTTAATAAAATATTTCATTAAGGTTTAGATATTTTTAGTATATATTAAATTAATAATCACCCATTCTTCAGTTATATTTTAATGGGAGTTGGTTTGTATGCAAGTTAACTACTTTCTAATTACATAATCTTTCATGATCATTTAGCTATTTAAGTTACAGATTCTTCAACTGTAATATGGTCATGAAATAACTAGATGAAGGTATCATGAATACAAAATGAAGTAATAACAGAGCAAAAGGTCATGAAATATGCTAATTAATATTAAAAGTATATACAGTTTAGTCTGTTATCTTGAGAATTAGGTGAGATTAACTACTTAAAAGTACATGTTAAATAGAGCCCTTGAAGAAATTTTAGCATGATTTTTATTGTCAAAATAATATTGAAAATGACATCACTTTAAATTATAAATAACAAAGATATCCTTGGCTTTTAAGATGTAAGCAGATATTATCCTTCAAGCATTTTTATTAGCAATTTCTCTTTATGCAACCTATAGATATTGTTCTATGTTTACTCTTCAACCTGTAGCTGAGCTGTAGATGCTGTTTGTGCATCATTGCTTTGGCTACTTCAATATGGATTATCAGGATTTACTCTGAAGCTGGAAATCTGTGTCAATTAACTACACCAGTGCACTTAAGGCCTCTATTATTGTAGAAATTCTATTGGATTCCCTCAGTTCCACATCATGCCCTCACTACATTCCACATTATTCTCCTGACATCGATGCCTCTGCTTCTTGATTCCCTGGCCAAGCCAGAGTTTAACATTTCATATTAAAACTATAATAAATAGGGTATAACAGAAAGTTTGCAAATATAAGGAAGAATGCTCAGTAACTATGAAGAAGGACAGAGATCATGAGACAGACAAAAAAGAAAGAGAGATTCAACTACTATGAAATGAAAAATTGTACTTGTGTAATTTTATGATACTTCTTATCAACAAGATTAAAAGAGAGATGGCAGGGATTCTAGCATCCCCAAATATCCTGAGTTTTCTGGACATTAGCAGACTAACCCTACTAAATTTGGTGTTATAAGAGGTTGTATGTTTGTGTATAAATTACCAGCTGATGCTTTATGTACAATTTTTCAGCATCATGGAATTTTCTATTGTGTCTTTGGCATAGCTAATTGATTCCTCTGTTTCAAGTATCAAAATACTTAGACTTTGCATCTAAATACGTATGTAAGCTCTTGAATTTAGATAGCGAAGGCCACAGCCTCAAACATTTGCCTTGTTTGGCGATGAATACTGATGGTTTCTTTAGCAAAGAAATGATTCATATTCAATAAATCAAGGACATTATACATTTGTGCTGAATTTACTGAATGTATTTTAGTTATGGCTGTAAATTTGTTTGAATTTGTTACCCAGAATATGGTCAGATTATAAAATGAAATTTCTTAACTGTATTATTATTTTTTCAAACTTTATATACTCATAATATAATTTCTTTAAAAATGCATAACATAATATACCAAGAACAAGAATATCCCAGCACTTTGGAAGGCTGAGGTGGGCAGATTACTTGGAGTCAGGCATTCAAGACCAGCCCGGCCAACATGGTGAAACCCCATCTCTACTAAAAATACAAAAATTAGCTGGGCTTGGTGGCAGGTACCTGTAATCCCAGCTACTTGGGAGGCTGAGGCAGAACAATCACTTGAACCCAGGAGGCAGAGGCTGCAGGGATCCAAGATTGTGCTACAGCACTGCAGCCTGGGCAACAGAGCAAGACTCCGTCTAAAAAATAAAAATAAAAAAAGAACAAGAACAGTACGATTTGTATTGAATTGGAACTGAAAATTTAGGTTTTAAAAATCACCTTCAAAATTTGGGAAATAATAGTCTTGAAATTTTCTTGAAAGAAAGCATGGAGGCATGAAGTCATCCATGTTAAAAGGAAGGACAAAAATAGGAAAATGATAAAGAAAGCAGTGAAGGAAAATAAAAACTGGAACATCTGATTTCTCACTTAAGCTTATTCCAAACAGAATAAAGTGAAAACAATACAATTTCAAAACAGATTTAATATTCTTTCTGTGTGACACCCATGAGCACAGACTAGTCTTTTATATTGTTTGTTTTCATAAAAATACAAAATATTTAGGTGTATACACATATTAGGTATCGAAATTGAGGTTTCAGTTCAATTATAATATTGTCTTTTCCCATATGTTTCTTTTGTAAATATTGAAAACTTGAACTGTTTTGATAATCTTGATGTGAAATGTTTCTGAGAATATACTAAACATTCATTAGAACTATTGTTTTAATATTGAACCAAGTAACCAGACATGGTGGCTTATGCCTATAATACCAGTACTTTGAGAGGCTGAGACAGGAGGATTAGTTGAGGCCAGGAGGTTCTAGACCAGCAACATAGAAAGACCTTGTCTCAATAAAAAAAAATAATAAGCCAGGTGTGGTGGTGAAATATATATATAAATACATATATGATACATATATAATACATATATATACGTACATGTGCACACAAGCACATGAGACACACATACACACACACACACACACACACACACACACACACACACAAAGAGTAACCAAACTCTTGATTTTCTTAAAAGAAGATTTAAGGTCATCAAAATCTTAAGTTCTCTTCACTTAGCTAGGCATAATATTATTTACAAATAATTTTCAAAAAAAAGAAAAATTCAATTGTAAATTGAATAAGAAACTTTCTTTTGTAACAAAACACTCCATGCTGATATTTAAAACATTATTTGAGGTTATAGCTTTTTACATATGGCATATGTTATAATTTGAGAATAGTTTTAAAAATATTAATGGTAGACTGAGAGTTAAACTAACTAGTCCATTCTTTTAATTATATTGCATGTGGACCTTCCATAGAGAATACTTTGTGAATCTGTGAAAGAGAAAATAATGTATGTATGTCATAGAATTCTTGGTACAAAAACAGAATAATGGCATGACTTAATATCTTAGTCTGTGTGAGTTGCTGTAACAAGTACCACAAACTGGGTGGCCAATTAACAACAAAAATTTGTCTCTCACAGTTTGGGAAGCTGGGAAGCTCAAGATCAAGGCACCAGCAGATTCACTGTCTAGCAATGGTCCATTTCCTAGACAGCTGTCTTTTTGCTATAACCTCACATAATGGAAAGGATGAGGAATTTCTCCGTGGTGAAATGGTTATTGTGTTTTATAAAGACAATAATCCTATTTATGAGGGGTCTGCCTTCATTAACTAGTCACACCTCTTAGCAGCCCACCTCCTAAAACCATCACCTTGGGGATTAGGATTTCAACACATGGATTTGAGGGGGGCATAAACATTCAGGGCATTGCACTTAGGTCAGCCCCTCTCTGAAAGGCTACATTTAAAATTATAGAGAGGGGCAATAAAGTGTTTGACCTACATTCAATTTTAAATAACAGCATATATAAAGTTATTAGGGTGAGAAAATGCTACCAGAAAGATACAGAACAGTGTGATCAATGATTAGGTAATAAAAACAAGAGCAGTGTATGATAAATAATGGATTCAATGGATGATTTTTTAAATGGTGTATACTAAGAAGGAGTTATTACCCCATGTATATTTAAAAAATAGGTTTTGAAAGCAAGTGAAACAATAGTTAGGAGTCTATAATCATATAAATAAATAATTACATAAAAGAATGATGGCTTATTTTCCTATTTGGGTGCCTTTTATTTCTTTCTCTTGCCTGATTGGCCTGGTTAGAACTTCCAGTACTGTGTTGAATAAGAGTGGTAAGAGTGGGCATCCTTGTCTTGTTCCAGTTTTCTAGGGGAATACTTCCAGCTTTTGCCTTTTCAGTGTGATATTGATTGTGGGTTTGTCATTGATGGCTCCTATTATTTTGCAGTATGTTCTTTTGATGCTTAGTTTCTTGAGGATTTTTGTAATGAAGAGATTTGGGGTTTTAATAAAAGCTTTTCCCAGATCTATTAAGATGGTCATATACTTTTCTTTTTAATTCTGTTTATGTGGAGAAACATATTTACTGATCTGCATATGTTGAACCAACCTTGCATCCCAGGAATGAAGTCTGCCTGATTATGGTGAAGTAACTTTTTGATGTGCCATTGGATTCAGTTTGCTAGTATCTTTTTGAAGATTTTTGTGTCTATGTTCATCAGGGATATTGGCCTGTAGTTTTCTTTTTTTGTTGTGTCTTTGCCAGCTTTTGGTATCAGGGTGCTGCTGGATTCACAGAATAAGTTAGAGAGTGTTCCTGTCTCCTTGATATTTTGGAATAGTTCCAGTGGAATTGGTACCATCTTTTCCTTGTATGTGTGGTGGAATTCAGCTGTGAATCTATTCAGTCTGGGGCTTTTCGGGGTTGTATTTTTTTTATTACCGATTCAACTTTGGAACTTGATATTGGAGTGTTCAATGTTTCAAATTCTTCCTGACTCAATCTTGGGAGATTATATGTTTCCAGACATTTATCCATTTCTTCTAGATTTTCTTTTGTGTATATACAGGTGTTTGGAATAGTCTCTGAGGATCTTTTGTATTTCTGTGGGATCAGTTTTAATGTCATCTTTGTTGTTTCTAATTGTGTTTATTTGGACTATGTCTTTTTTTTGTTAATCAAACTAATGGTCAATTGATCTTGTTTATCCTCTCAAAGAAAAAGCTTTTGGTTTTGTTGATTCTTTGTATGGATTTTGGGGTCTTGATTTTGTTCAGTTCAACTCTAATTTTAGTTATTCATTTTATTCTGCTAGCTTTGGAGTTAGTTTGTTCTTGTTTTCTAGTTCCTCTAGGTGTGACGTTACATCTTTAATTTGAAATCTTTCTAACTATTTGATATAGGCATTTGGTGCTATAAACATTCCTCTTAAGATTGTTTTTGCTGCATCCCAGAGATTGTGATCTGTTGCATCTCTGTTTCCATTTATTAAAAAAAAATGTTTTTTGTTTCTTCCTTAATTTCATTGTTTACCCAAAAGACATTCAGGAGCAACTTGTTTAATTTCCATTTAATTGTGTGGTTTTGAGAAATCTTCTTGGTATTGATTTCTATTTTTATTTCATTGTAGTCTCTGAGTATGGTTGATATGATTTCAATTTTTTTTAATTCATTGAGATTTGCTTTGTGTCTGAGAATGTGGTTGACCTTGTAGTATTTCCTGTGTGCAGATGAGAAGAATGTCTCTCTTCATGGATGATATGATTATATACCTAGAAAACCCTAAGGACTCCGTGAAGATGCTCTCAGAACTGATAAATGACTTCAGTAAAGTCTCAAGATGTAAAATCAATATACAAAAATAAGTAGCATTTCTATATATCAATAACGTTGAAGCTGAGAGCCAAATCTAGAATTCAGTCCTACTTACAATAGTCACAAACACACACACACACACACAAACACCTAGGAATACATGTAAACAAAGAGGTCAAAGATCTCTACAAAAAGAACTACAAAATGTTGCTAAAATAAACCATAAATGACACAAACAAATGCAAAAACATTCCATACTCGTGGATTGGAAGAACTGATATTTTTAAAATAGTCAAACTGTACAAAGCAATCTACATATTCGGTGCTTTTACTATCAAACTACCAGTGTCATTTTTCACAGAACTAGAAAAAAAAACATTATTCTAAAATCCTTATGGAACCAAAAATGAGCCTGAATAGCCAAAGCAATCCTAAGCAAAAATAAGAAAGCTGGAAGCATCACCTTACCTGAATTTAAACACTATTAGAAGGCTACAGTAACCAAAATAGCACGACACTGATACAAAAACAGACGCATTGTCCAATGGATCAGAATAGAGAACCCAGAAATAAAGCTGCCCACCTACAGCCATCTAATCTTCAAAAAAGTCAACAAAAATAAGCAATGGGGAAAGGACTTCCTATTCAATGGTGCTGGGATAGCTGGCAAGCCATATGCAGTGGAATAAAACTGAACACTTAACCTTTCACCATGTAAAAAATTAAGAAGGATTAAAGATTTAAATGTAAGACCTCTAACTATAAGAATCCTAGATAAAAACCTAGGAAACACTATTCTGGACACTGGCCTTGAGAAATAATTTACGACCAAGTCCTTAAAAGTAATTGCAACAGAAGAAAAAATACTTAACCTCACTAATCATCTGAGAAATGCAAGTCGAAACCACCATGAGATACCATCTCACATGAGTCATAATGACTATTATTAAGAAGTTGCAAAATAACAGATGCTAGTGAGGCTCTGGAGAAAAAGAAATGCTTATACACTGTTGGTAGGAATGTAAATTACTTCAGTCACTGTGGAAAGCAATTTGGAGAAGTCTCAAAGAACTTAAAACAGAACTACCGTTTGACCTAGCAATCCCATTACTGGGTATATATCCAAAAGGAAACAAATCATTCTACCAGTAAGACACTTGCACTGGCATGTTCATTGCAGCACTATTCATAATAGCAAAGACATGGAATCAACATAGGTGCCCATCAACAGCGGTCTGCATAAAGAAAATGTGGTACATATACACCATGGAATACTAGTAGCCATAAAAAAGAATGAAATCATGTCCTCTGCTGCAACATGAATGCAGCTGGAGGCCATTATCTCAATCTAATTTACATAGGAAGAGAAAACCAAATACCACATGTTCTCACTTGTAAGTGGAAACTAAACACTGAGTACTCATGGACATAAAGATGGCAATAATAGACACTGGATGCTACTAGAGAGGATAGGCAGGGAGGAAGTAAGTGTTGAAAAATGAACTGTTGAAGTCTACGCTCAGGGTAGATGGAATAATTTGTACCCTAAACCTCAGCATTATGCTATATGCCCAGGTAACAAATCGGCATATGTACTCTTGAATCTAAAATAAAAGTTTAAAAAAAGGGAAAAATGAATGAAGAAAGGAATAATAGATAAATATCTTATGTAAAAAAATCAAATAATTTATAGAGATATTCTGCCCTCAAAGCGGTGGGGTATAACTTTCCATTTCTTAAGTTGTTGCCTGTATTGACTTTCTTCTATACAAAAAGTATACTATAAAATGGGGGAGAAAGAGTAAATTGTAATGACAAAATCTGAAAAACACTACCTCATCCAGGAGATCAAGATTAATATGAATAGAGATAAGACATATTGAAAATATGTACCCTTGATCTGATGTGATAAGAGTGACGTTTTACCTCTGTGGTCCTCTCCCTAAAATCCATTCCCCAATATAGTCATGAGAAAAATCCTAGATAATTCCAGTTGAAGGCATTGTACATAATACCTGACCAGCACTGTTCAAAACTGTCAAAGTCATTAAAAAATAAAGCCCAAGAAATTGTCACAACCAAGAGGAGTATAAGCAAACATGACTGGTAAATATAATGTAATATCTTATATGGAATCCTGCAACAGGAAAAGAACATTAGGTGAAAGCAAAACAAAACAACTCTGCATAACGTTTAAACTTTAGTTAACAACAATATATCAGTATTAGTCTATTCATTTTGGCAAGTGTAGGATACTAGAATGAGATGTTACTAGTAAAGTAAAATAGGCGAAGGGTACGTGAGAATTCTTTCAACTATCTTTACAGCTTTTTCTGTAAATCAAAAACTATTTTAAGTTAAAATTTTTATTTTAACAAATGGAGTGGAGGACACAAGACTTAAATGTCCCTTTTCTGTTCCATAATCTCATGGAGAATACGACATTACATTTAGTGACCATGTAGGCTCCTTTTGGCTGTGACCATTTCTCAGATTTCCTCCGTTTGGGGGGACATTGATAGTTTTGAGGAGTTCTGAACTGGCAGTGGTAATGCATGTGATTCCAGCTAACTCCTCCCTTTTTTCAGAAATGTTTTAGTTGCTAGTGAGGGTGGTTAGAGATTGTCTAGAGAACAGAATGTGTAAAACTATCATCTCAGCAAGTTAAAAAACTAAAGTATGTGTGAGAATGTGTAGAGGGGAAACATTCTTTCTGAGAAACAGAAAAAAGGATCTGTCTTTAGATTGTGAATGTGAATTCATATATTAGCTTACAACAGTTTATAAGCTTCTGATTCCATTCCTCGGCTGACAATCACAAGGCATAAACCAGACTCATGATTTTTATGCAATATAAATAAAAATGTGAATTTTCTGCGAGACTCAGATAGCATATTGAATGTATAATTGGACCCTTCTGTTTTATAACAGATAATGAAGTAACAAAATATAAGGTAGTGGGGGTTGCATTTTGGGAATTTTGATGAAGGAAAATTTCAATTAAAAAGTGGTGGAGTGAAAATTAGTCAAAAACAGAATCTAAGGTCTTAGTCAAAACTGAACTAGTCAATGACTATGAATGAAATTAAATGAAAAAGGAGTAATCATGAGCTCCAATCAAAAACTATGAAATCAAAGGAACTCTCTGTGAGTGTGTGTGTGTGTGTGTGTGTGTGTGTCTTGAGATAGAAAAGTAAAGAAAATGCATCTAGAATCTATAATTGAAAGGTACATAACACATGTAGCGGAAAGTCTGGGTAGGACTGAGGTGGGAAGATTGCAGGGAACTTACTTAAAAACCTTCCTGATGGCCTGGCGCCGTGGCTCACGCCTGTAACCTCAGCACTTTGGGAGGCCAAAGAGGGCGGATCAATTGAAGTCAGGAGTTCAAGACAGCCTGGCCAACATGGTAAAACCTCATTTCTACTAAAAATACAAAAATTAACTGGACACGGTGGTGCTGTAATCCCAGCTACTTGAGAGGATGAGGCACAAGAATCGCTGGAGCCCCAGGGGCAGAGGTAGCAGTGAGCTGAGATCACTCCACTGCACTCCAGCCTGGGCGACAGAGTGAGACTTTGTCTCAAAAAACAAACAAACAAAAAGTGCATCATGTAGAAAGGGAGGAAGATAAAAGACTAGTAAGAGAGTAGATTGTTGGTGATTAATACACGTATTTGGAACAGTAACAGTATTAAGAGGAAGTTTTATCACTATACCTTTGAACGTGAATCTGATTCAATTCAAGGTCACTGGAATTGAGGAACACAGGGGTCTATATGAGCGAAGTTGTGGGCTGTAAAATTTTTAAAAATTAGGTTTTGGATTGGCTGCTTATATGGATATCAAAGGTTTCCAAGATTGGGATATATAGATGGAATAACAAAGACATGTTTTTTATTATACTTTAAGTTCTTGGGTACATGTGCAGAATGTGCAGTTTTGTTACATAGGTATACATGCGCCACGGTGGTTTGCTGCACCCAGCAAACCGTCACCTACGTTAGGCATTTCTCCTAATGTTATCCCTCCCCTGGCCCCCCACCCCCTGATGGGCCCCAGTGTGTGACGTATCCCTCCCTGTGTCCATGTGTTCTCATTGCCAAACTCCCACTTATGAGTGAGAACATGCAGTGTTTGGTTTTTTGTCCCTGCAATAGTTTGCTGCAAATCATGGTTTCCAGCTTCATCCGTGTCCCTGCAAAGGACATGAACTCATCTTTTATATGGCTACATAGTATTCCATGGTGCATATGTTCCACATTTTCTTTATCCAGTCTATTATTGATGGACATTTGAGTTGGTTCCAAGTCTTCGCTATTGTGAATAGTGCCACAATAAACATACGTGTGCATGTGTCTTTATAGTAGAATGATTTATAATCCTTTGGGTATATACTGAGTAATGGGATTACTGGGTCAAATGGTATTTCTAGTTTTAGATCCTTGAGGAATCACCACACTGTCTTCCACAATGGTTGAACTAATTTACACTCCCACCAACAGTGTAAAAGCATTCCTATTTCTCCACATCCTCTCCAGCATCTGTTGTTTCCTGACTTTTTAATGATCGCCATTCTAACTGGAGTGAGATGGTATCTCATTGTGGTTTTGATTTGCATTTCTCTAATGACCAGTGATGATGAACTTTTTTTTTCATATGAACTAAGACATATTTTTTTGATAGTAGAGGATGGGAATGATGATAGGAAAAGGTTAAAGTGGCATGCTCTGTAGGTACTAATATGGAATAAGAGTTTTTAAAATAAATAATCCTAGTTAGAGAAGACTGAAAACTGTAGTATCTTACACCAATACAATTCTAAGATTTGAATATAAATTTTTTAAATATATATGTGTGTTTGTGTGAGTACGTTTATATATATATACGTGTGTGTGTGTATATGTGTGTATATATAAAAGGCTACTCAGCCATTATATATATAATTTCAGATAAAGTTGAGTATACCTTATGTGAAATTTTTGAGACCAGAAGTATTTCAGATTTCAGATAATTTTTCAGATATTTGAATATTTACCTTACACTGTTAAGCATTCTATATCCAAAAATACAAAATCTGAAGTACTCCATGGAGCATTTCCTTTGTGCATCAGTTTGGTTCTCAAAAACTTTCAAATTTTCAAATTTGGGATGCTCAGCCTGTTTATTGATATGGATGTAAAGGGATGCAATTTGAAGCTTAAAAATGAAGTCTAAATGACTTCAACAATGCACAATATATATTCATATGCTCATAGTTGATGAAAAGACGAAACATGACTTAACATAATGTTTGAATATATCACATAGTTTTCGTTTTATGTTTTACAATAGAGTAAAAACTCTCCTCTAATTAGGAGAAAAGTGTATGTCAATGGCCGTTTTATTAATTAGAAGTATTAGTGCTATCTGGACTTCAAAATATATACTATAAATTTTTTGAATTTAAATAAAATCACTTTATAACCAAAATGCAGTTTTTAGTTGCATATTTTTATTTTTTATTATCACATATAATAACAACTAATATTTCATGCTAGGCTTTCTTGTAAATACTTTCCCTACATTATCACATTTAATTATCAGCACAAACCTATAAGGTAAACACTATTTGCACCTGCATTTTACACGTGAAAGAAATTTGACATAGGTTTAGTAGATGGCTCAAGTTAACAGAGTTAGCATTTGAGGAATCAAGATGCAAATCTAGATGATATAATTTCTGGATTTGTTGCTCAAGCACTAAGCTATATGTATCATTCATCAGATATGCATTAACCCATGGCTTGTCAGTTACATTCATTATTTTTAAAGAAAATAAATGTAAGCCATTTAGAGATCAGATTCCACATACATATTTATTCTGGGGATATTACATGTTTTATAGTGACAGCTTTCTAATAAATAAATATTATTTTAGCTGATCTTCAGTGATTTATTTTCCACATCTTACACATGAACACATTTTAAATGTCTTTAAAGATTAATAAGTTAACAAATATAAAGAAAAATAAAATTGACATGCAGTCTTTATGCAATATTGTTTGTGAAAGACATTAAACAAATTTGACAAATCTGGCATGTAACAAATGAAACTTCAAAACTTATTTTGGGTAATGGCAGCTACAAAGTAAGTTTGAACTATTGATTTTGTATAAAAAAGGAAAGCCCGTTATAAAAAGATACTGTTACTCTGCATTTCTATTGTCCTTGTTTTTACTCAAGTTCACTCCTTCATTCATTGATGGCTAACTTCTCTCTCTCTTTCTCTCATTCTCTCATTTTTGTATAGTTATCTTGCACTGTATATTATTTCTAATTTCCATTTAACCTTACGCTTCATAAGTAGGAATCTTGGCAATTTTACAAAACACACACACGGAGACATACACACACACAGTGTATGTGTGACAATACATTTTGGTTTCATGACACTAATAACTTCAGGACATTCATCTTATTTGTCATAGGATTATGATGAAAAATAAATGAGATAGTGCAAGTAAAATATTTTGTGTATTTTCTACATGTAGTAATCTCCAAAAAAGTAGTTATTATCATTATTATTAGTAACAAAGCCATGTTTCAATAAATATAAGGAGATTTGATCTTGTTGCATTTGCTGAATATTTGGTTTTTATATTACTGCTCAGTTGCAACAATTGTAATGAGAATCAGTTTTGACTATGCCTTTCAATATGCCATTTAGATAAAAATATCAATAAAAGTAATATTAATCAAGTTGCAATTTAAAATATGAAAAATCATTCAATGATATAACAGGGCTTGATATAGGGCTTTTTGTTATAAGATTTATCTTTAATATGATCATGTATTTTAAGTATTATTTTATATAATTTTGAATTTTTGTGAGTACATAGTAGTTTTACTTTGTGTATAGTCAGCCTTCGCATACTGATGATTACTACATTAAATAAAAACAAAACATGCTTCGGATTTTTTTAATGTTCTGTATGACCTCATACAAAACAGGTAAAATGATATTCCCTAAATTTATATATAAATTTTAACGGGTAGGCTTTCAGTTTTATAAGATGAAAGAGTTGCAAAGATGTATGGTGGTGATGGTTGCACAACGTTATGAATTCAGGTAATTCTACTGAACTGTACACTTAAAAGTGGTTAAGATGAAAAATTTTGTTATTTGTTTTTTAACACAATACAAAAAACACCCTGAATTTTAAATTTTAAACAAAGATAGACTACTATAACCAGGTTCTGTCAATCTGTTTTCAGATAGAATTTCTTAGAGACTCCTTTGCAAACATCTCTAAGGAAAGGAAACATTGTTAGAACACTAGATTAAAAGAGGGTAGGTAGACACAAGTATTTGGGACTCGTTTAGGAAAAAGTATGAGTAGAGGGCAGTTAATTGAGCTATGTCAAGCCAGAGAAGAAAAATATCCACATGATGCCAACTGTGGACTTTCCATTTCACATCAGAATTTATATTTTCTGAAATTGCTTAATGTAATAAAACAAAACTAATTATAAATATGACCCAAAACAATGATTAAGGGTAACTTTCATTTTTATAAATTAAAAGTACAGTTATTGAATAGTAAATGTTATATGACTAACAATTTATTGAATTATGATTTATATTTATAATTCATGACCCATTTCTTTTTGACATTGTAAAATAACATGAAGTTAGATAAGCATAACTCTCCTTTGGAACACTTTCAAATACAAGACATAAATATTTGTGATGTGGCTATTCTGATATTTAAGAACTGACTTTGACAAGACTGACATATAAAGCATCATCTGTAATTAGTACCTAAGTTCAAAGAATTTCTCATATGGAATTGAAAACCATTGATAATAAAATATTAGGAAATCTATTTTATCTACTTAATTAGAATAATTAATTTATCTTTGTATACTAAGCTGTAGTGAATTCAAAGAGGTAAAAACCTGTGGGTTGTGTATTATACAACCCCACATATATAATGACATATCTAATTTAATTATTTATTTTACGGAAGAAATTTGCAGGCATACATCAACCCATAATGTAATATTTCAGTACCTACATTTATCTCCAAATGGCACTAGACATTTTCTTATGTATAAGTCGGAAAAATGTTTAATTTTTGAAAAGTGTATATGTATCATTAAATACAAATTGCATAAGTCAATTGACCCTCAGCACAGACAGCATAAAATGACAGAAACAAAAGACTTACAAAAATGATACTGTACTAAAAGATTATGTTCCTTAAATAAATAACATTTTTTTATTTAAGCCTGGAAAACTTTGAATTTTTGCTAATCTTACAAAAATTTTGTATTGAAATAAAAATGTGCCAAAAGCCAGAAATTGTATTTAGGAATTCCATCAGATCAGAAATATGAACACCCTTAGGAACTGTTTTAAAAACTCAGCTATACAGTAATCGAAAATAGTATTTTCAGTCTTCCCATTTATAATAAATGAGGTGTCCAAAACATTACATGTGGCTATGTAGATGAGACATTGTGTAAAATTCGTGTTGACGACAATTTCTTGCAACTCATGGTACTAAATTGTCAAAGTCTTCTAAGCTATTCTAAAACATGAGCCAAAGCTTTAATCCATGAATAGACTGCATGCATAAATCTTTTGTCTTCCTTCCTTTAGGCTGTTAGGGATTTTTATAGTCAATTTAAAGGATATTTAGTTCATGGCATTTTTTTTTTTTATTTGCCAAAAAAAAAAAAAAAAAAAAAAAAAACCAACAACAGGCCGGGCGCGGTGGCTGAGGCCTGTAATCCCAGCACTTTGGGAGGCCGAGACGGGCGGATCACGAGGTCAGGAGATAGAGACCATCCTGGCTAACACGGTGAAACCCCATCTCTACTAAAAATACAAAAATTAGCTGGGCGTGTTGGCTGGCGCCTGTAGTCCCAGCTACTCAGGAGGCTGAGGCAGGAGAATGGCCTGAACCCGGGGAGGCGGAGCTTGCAATGAGCCGAGATCACGCCACTGCACTCCAGCCTGGGCGACAGAGTGAGACTCCCTCTCAAAACAAACAAACAAACAAAAAACCAACAACAACTTCACAGGAGATACGGTGATTGAATCTTAATCACATAGGTGGATGCTCTTTCCTCACACTAAATGTCAGTTTAGGTGACTGGTAAGGAAACTTCTCTTCTTATGAACTCTCTTGAAAGCAAAAAATTCGTATCTGGTTTATTTCTTACTTTACTTGATATGGGTGAAATTTTATTCTATTATTTTAAGATCAAGGTTGGAATTGCCAACGCTTGTTAAAATCGTACTTTTAAAATTCAAGCGTATAAGTATTTTGGAAATTTTCAGTGCTCAACGAAATGAATAGACGCCTGTGTGTGCAGAGTCTCTCCTAGGACAAAGATAATTAGTAATTGGAGTTACTATAGCAAATTTGTACAAAAATGAAAAGTTTTTTTTCAAAGGATGCAAATTTATTATGTAATATATGATTTTCAAAAAGGATAAATTGATAAATTATAGACTGTAGTCTGTAAGTATATGGCATACTATAACATTCACACCTATAAGAGCTAGAAAAAGTAGTTTTTAAATAAATAAAAGCATTGAATGGCATATTGTATAATTTAGATATTGATTGTAGCTACTTAATATTATGGCATTTGTTTTCCATTTTCTGGAGGAGGTTTCTGAAACAATAGACTATTTCCTTGTATTAATGTTAAGTTGAGTAAAAGGGCTGAATAATCCATTTGTTGTTACATTATTTCTATATTTGTTTCCATTTACTAGTGAATAACTTATTCCTAAATGATAATTGAATATATGTAGTTACATAAGCAGGGTTATTTCAGGAGGTGAATTATCACAGTTGTCCCTTGATATCTATAAGGGATTTGTTTCAGAACCCCTAAGGATACCAAAATTTATGGATGCTTAAATACCTTCTATAAAATGGTGTAGGATTTGCATATAACCTAAGCATATCCTCCTGTATATATTAAATCTTTTATAGATTACTTATAATACCTAATACAATGTAAACATTTGTTATACTGTATTTTAAGGTATAAAGAACAAATATTCTGTAAATATTCAGTACAGACACAAAAATCCTTTTTTTAAAAAAATATATTTTCCATCAGCAGTTGGTTGAATCCATGCATGTGGAACCCATTCATAGACAGGGTCAACTGTACTGTAATGTTTCAAATTTTAAAAGTGAAAATGTACTACATTGTTGCAAACTTTGAGGAAAGTTGAAATATTTCATTTAAGAATGGCTTTCCATTCCAAAGTTTGTGATTTTCTTGAAATAAGTGATACATTTATGCATTTGTTAACTGTAATTTCTAGTGTTCTAGACATTTGTATTCTTATTTTTATGACAATTCCTTAGACCAAATGTCACTAATAATTGCATTGTACTAATACTATAATTTTCTGCAAATGTCTATTACTTAATATCCTAACTAAATCTCAATCAACAATACTCTAAATCTTCTATTTAATCACTTTATTTATGGTGTTTACAAAAGCATGACATAGGTAATAAATAAAGAGACATTTAAATATGTTTTCTTGATTTCTTATTGTTTAGGCAGAATATTTAATTTCAAATACATTTCAGTATAAGAATAACTTTAAAACTGTACATTGAAATGTTATTTCATGATAGATTTAAAGCTATGTAATTTTCTCAATTTTGTTCTTTCAGTCTTACTATATTATATAACATGTTGATTTTTTATTTTCTCTAGACAAATCACACATATACTTAAGTAAGATGAAAATTAAAAATATTGGCTTCAATTCTTAGATCATTCAATCATTTAGATGATAAAACAATTATGTAATCCACAAATACATGGAGATTACTAATTGTGTTTTATTTTTCCATGGGAGAATAAAAGTAAATTTCTTGTTAACTTATAGTTCTGACAAACCACTGCTCCAGCTGAATATTTTATGAAGCTACAGTTTGGCTTGTTAGCAGTCTCAAAGGAAAAATAAGATCAATACTTGTCACAGCAGGAGATACTTTACTGTCAATGGAATGGTATAATGTAGCACTGAGGGTGAAAAAATGCACCAACACTTCTCAATTTGGCCTTATGTAATGAGCAGGCTTCTATTAAGAAAACTAAATCAGTTTTCCCGAGAATGTAATGCCCAGATCAAAAGGCTTAAGTGTCACTTTGTAGTTCCATTTCCATGTTTAGTCCAGTTTATAAACTAGATATATAAACTATGCCAAACTTTTTGATAAGTACGTGACAAGTTGCCCATACATTACGTATATTGCTCAAGCAGTTCTTAATGGTGGGAAAGAAACTCAACAACCCTAAACATTTGAAGCTTTAACATGTTAATGGTTCATAGACATAGAATATCTGATGATCTTTTTTACGTTTTCCTTTTTTCCTTGTATGCTTCCTTCCTTTCTTTAAGGAGTCTCTCTCCATTTTCCACATTTTGCCTTGATGTCTGAAAATAACCTTGAAGATTAGTAAATATATGTGCAGTTGTTTGGGAACTATTTTTTAAAATAAAAAGTTATTTCTCATCTGCATACATTTTAAAGTACATTTAAAGATAACAACAATAATTAGGGCTGAGGTCACATTCCAGATATGTCACTAGTCAATCAGATGTGGTTACTAAGGGTGAAGAGAAAAGAGAATGAATAGTAGAGGTGGAAGGTGGCGAGTATTGAATATGGTCCTTCAAACAGCCAAAACTAGGAGCTGCAGTCTTACTACTAATTCTCCTCTTATACATACTTTCCAGGAACAGAAGCCTAGTGGAATCTTGAAGGAGCTTGCCTTAAATGTGTCACATGGCTCCAGGTAGAGTAAGATATTATCTGTTATGGACACAAAGGTGCACCATCCTATTTATTCTACAAAGAAGGGTGCTGGCCAGGTTTTAGAAGTGTCAGCAGACTGTGGTCAACTGCTTTGAATTTTCTTTAGCTGTAGACAACTGACTTGAACAAGAGCACATCCTTCCCAGGGTGACTCATATCGAAAGTCTCATTATAGCAGGTAAGTAAGTCACTGCCATGTTGGCTCAGGACAGGGGAATTCTGAAGACTCTGTGTGACGGGGCCTGGGTGGAATTGGTCAAGACTTCTTTGGCCTCATACCACAGTCTGTCTTCTCTCACTGCTTAATCTTGGTTTCTCCCTCATTCTTCCACAAACATTGATCACTAATAATGCCTTGCATATCAAAATTGTTAACATATGCTCTCTACTCAGATAATTTCTCTATCAATTGGACAACCTAATGAGCTTCACTTTCAGCCAGCACACACAATTATTCAAATTACATCCATCAATTACATCCTCCTGCAGGAAGCAGGAGCCACCTCACCTCTTGTTACTACAAAGTCTTCTTCACATAATTCCTGCTTGCTCAGTCTATTCACAAATGCAACCCTCAAGTGCTCCTGAAAGGAGCAGTGTCCTCCTTCCTCCAGTTGTGAATAAATGTGACCTAGAAACTGCTGTTGATCTTATTTGCCCAGTGTCAATAAATATATATATATGTATATATGTGTCCTGAATGGTATTGCCTAGGTTTTCTTCTAGGGTTTTTATGGTTTTAGGTCTAACATTTAAGTATTTAATCCATCTTGAATTAACTTTTGTATAAGGTGTAAGGAAGGGATCCAGTTTCAGCTTTCTACATATGGCTAGCCAGTTTTCCCAGCACCATTTATTAAATAGGGAATCCTTTCCCCATTTCTTGTTTTTGTCAGGTTTGTCAAAGATCAGATAGTTGTAGTTATGCAGCATTATTTCTGAGGACTCTGTTCTGTTCCATTGGTCTATATCTCTGTTTTGGTAACAGTACCATACTGTTTTGGTTACTATAACCTTGTAGTATAGTTTGAAGTCAGGTAGTGTGATGCCTCCAGCTTTGTTCTTTTGGCTTAGGATTGACTTGGCAATGCAGGCTCTTTTTTGGTTCCATATGAACTTCAAAGTAGTTTTTTTCCAATTCTGTGAAGAAAGTCATTGGTAGCTTGATGGGGATGGCATTGAATCTATAAATTACCTTGGGCAGTATGGCTGTTTTCATGATATTGATTCTTCCTACCTATGAGCATGGAATGTTCTGCCATTTGTTTGTATCCTCTTTTATTTCATTGAGCAGTGGTTTGCAGTTCTCCTTGAAGAGGTCCTTCACGTCCCTTGTAAGTTGGATTCCTAGGTATTTTATTCTCTTTGAAGCAATTGTGAATGGGAGTTCACTCATAGGCATGGCCAAGGACTTCATGTCTAAAACACCAAAGGCAATGGCAACAAAAGCCAAAATTGACAAATAGGATCTAATTAAACTAAAGAGCTCCTGCACAGCAAAATAAACTACCATCAGAGTGAACAGGCAACCTACAGAATGGGAGAAAATTTTTGCAATCTACTCATCTACAAAGGGCTAATATCCAGTATCTACAGTGAACTCAAACAAATTTACAAGAAAAAAAAAAAAAACCCCATCAAAAAGCGGACGAAGGATATGAACAGACACTTCTCAAAAGAAGACATTTATGCAGCCAAAAGACACATGAAAAAATGCTCATCATTACTGGCCATCAGAGAAATGCAAATCAAAACCACAATGAGATACTATCTCACACCAGTTAGAATGGCGATCATTAAAAAGTCAGGAAACACCAGGTGCTGGAGAGTATGTGGAGAAATAGGAACACTTTTACACTGTTGGTGGGACGGTAAACTAGTTCAACCATTGTGGAAGTCAGTGTGGTGATTCCTCAGGGATCTAGAACTACAAATACCATTTGACCCAGCCATCCCATTACTGGGTATATACCCAAAGGATTATAAATCATGCTGCTATAAAGATACATGCACACGTATGTTTATTGCGGCACTATTCACAATAGCAAAGACTTGGAACCAACCCAAATGTCCAACGAGGATAGACTGGATTAAGAAAATGTGGCACATATACACCATGGAATACTATGCAGCCATAAAAAATGATGAGTTCATGTCCTTTGTAGGGACATGGATGAAGCTGAAACCATCATTTGCAGCAAACTATTGCAGGGACAAAAAACCACACACTGCATGTTCTCACTCATAGGTGGGAATTGAACAATGAGAACACTTGGACACAGGAAGGGGAACATTACACACCAGGGCCTGTTGTGGGGTGGGGGGAGTGGGGAGGGATAGCATTAGGAGATATACCTAATGTTAAATGACGAGTTAATGGGTACAGCACACCAACATGGCACATGTATACATATGTAACAAACCTGCACAATGTGCACATGTACGCTAAAACTTAAAGTATAATAAAAAAATATGTATATACATGTTCTTATCACCTCTCATTATATGCTGTGTATAAATATATATGTACTCTTATCACCTCTCATTATATGTGTCTGTATAAATATATGTATATATATATATGTCATCATTATAAGCCCCATTTACCAGAAAAACAAATTGAGACAATAAGAAGTTTACTAAATTGTAGAATAGTATAAACCTGTAGTTCCTTTACCTGGGATTCTAACACTAAGGTCTGCTTCTGGATTTCTTGCTCTTATCCACACACAACTAATTACATAATAAAATAATTGTTAAGTGCACAACCACTGTGATTTAATTTCTATATTTTTAAAACTTATTTTAAAAATCGATTTATGATTATAAAATATATTACCCAAATCACTTGTTCCACTTTGGGATTAGAGTATATCTTTATTAATAAAGGATTAACTAAGCTTCAGGCCTAGTTTAAGATAAGGGGGACACCCTACATTTTATACTGTTAAAAATGATTGACATATAGCAGTGATGACCCTGTTATTATGCTTGACAGCCAGTTTTCACTGTGTGGTAGACTTTCTGGTAGCTGAAAATTTGTGATTTAATGGCTATACATTAACAGACTCCATCCATTGTGAAGCCTTTAAAAAGTATATTTAAAAATAAAATATTGCATGTCACCCTTTTTTTCACAGTAAGAATGAAAATATGGCAATAACATAACTTTTCTGAGGGGAAATAGAAAACTGGGAAAGTAAATATTAATAGCAGATGATTTTCAGGAAAAATCAAAGTTGAAAATTAAAAAGTGGTACCCTTATGTTTTGTAAAAATGAGAAAACAGGAAAAAGAAAAAGAAAAAAGAGAAAGAAAGAAGAAAGAAAAAGAAGGAAAGAGAAAGAAAGAAAGAAAAAGAAAAAAAGAGAGAAAGCAAGAAGGGAAGAGAGGAAGGAAGAAGGAAGGAAGGAAGGTTAAAAAGAAAAAAGGGATAGCTTGCCTTTTAGCTGTAGAAACCTGGTGTACATTTTTATTGAATAATTGGGAGCAATTTTTAATGCTTAGGCAAAATGTGTCTAAGGAATAAAATAGAAACTGTGAGCCAGGCTGGGGGTGAAATGCCATATTTCCTCAGTTAACAAAGATGCCAGTGAAGCCTTGGCATTTCAGCATGTGGTACACAGACTGTACTACCTCAACCCACTGAAAACTGCAGAGGTGAAATTTGAAGTTTATACAAAGGTTTCAACGGTGACAGAAATATAGCAAATGTAATGCAGTAAGGATTAGACTGCAGGCGTTTTTACCCTTTTAACTATTCTGAGAATTTCAAATGAGAGAGGGCCAAATGATGATGGAGAGCAAGAATCTAGAAATATTATTTTGTGAAAAGTTTCATGATCTATTTCTAAGAGGAAAATGTGACAGCCACAAAATCAGGATATGAAATTATCTCCTTAGTTTAAGTTTGTGAAACATTTTATCCCTATTCCCTGGAGGTTTCTGCCACCAAATTTAAAAGTCTTATCTTTATAATAAAATGAAATATTAAGGCAGAATATATAAATCAATTATCAAAAAGACATACTCAGATAAAAGATGAAAATATATGAATATCTCAAAGTGTATATTACTTTAATTTCTCATGATTGGATCCTTCAGACCATGCAATTAAAATAATTTTTTGATAGAACTATTGTAATTGTGAATAGTCAACATGATCTACAAGTAAGTTTCTGAAATCATCTCTTTTTTTTTTTTTTGTTAGACATTTATAGACCCATAGCTTTTGAATACACAGATAACTCAAAAAGGTTAAAATTCTCACCATGGATGCAATAGTTGAAATCTGTGATTCTCAAATCCTTTAAAGACACTCCAATATAGCCCTTTTTAATAAAAGATCCTTTGAAGAATATAGCATTTTATGTTATTATGTGTATATATGGATATAGTTTAAAACATGACATTGCTATAATGTGGTCAAAAAAGCACACATTTTTAGAGCGAAAAAAAGATCAGAGAATACTTTCTTTAACTCCCTTGACATATAGATGAAGAAACTGAAATCCATGATTAGAACAAAACTACTTAGTGTCAGAGATGAGAATATTTCTTTTTAATTATTCTACTGTAACACATTCAAACATGTTTTTATAGAGGCATAGTTAAAAAAATGTGATTCTAAGACAACTTTAGAGGTAATACACTGGTTAGAATCTACTAATTATTTTTTTCCCTAACTCAAAGAAAAAAAGGCAACAGAAAATATGTTAAAAAATCATGTGGACTGTGTGTTTATATTACAACACTCTGATGAGGATATGGTATAATCAAACAGATATAATATGCTATTTTACCAACATTGGCTCAATTTAGAGTCCGATTAGATTATTTCTAAAATGTAGATACTGCATAAGACTGTCCTGATCCTTATGTATGCCTGGTTGGCACAGAGATAAAGAAGCAACAATTGCTCGCTTTAAAGTCACTGAGAAAGGCTGACATATCTTCTTTCTGGCACAAGGCCTGCATAATACTCAGAAAATCTTTCTCTTCCTTGAACATTCTGAGCTTATTTGCAACTTCATCTGACACTTATTATTCCCTGAGCCTGGATAACTTTCTGCTCAGATCTCCACATGCCTGGCTTCATAAAATCATTGTCTCACCATCAAGGTCATCGGCATCAAGGTGATGTCCTAAGCCTATCCTTACTTGTAATCAAAGACTGCCACCTTAAATTTAATCATTCCAACGAAGTGATCATCACTCTGAAATTATCATTTTCATTCATTTGGTAAGTGTATGCTCTCCCCAGCAGGACCTTACTAGAATCCTAACTAGGGCAAATAATTGCTTGTGCTAGTCACTAGCTTCACCTCTTGAACATAGTGTGGGACAGAATAAGTCCTCAATAAATATTAGTGAATGAAATAAAAGGAGATGTCTAGAATATTTGGAAGAAAAAGAAGGACTAAATGGATAAATATACAAAGTTATTTCAATTCACACTTGATATTTTTTGGGAAGTCTGTGATGTGCCAAACACTGCTAGTTGTGAAAGAGAATATAAGTGTATATGAAAGAAAGAGGTGATTACAGAGCCATAACTAATATCATAATTTAAAGAGACAAGAATGCACATATTTGTTATACAAATACTCAAGACTGATAATGTTGGAACAACAATTCATCAGAACGGGAAGATCCGTATGTGACAGCTGAGTTGGACCTTAATAAAAAAAAAAAGTATTTTGACAGGTGAATATAGTGATAAAGAAAATCCAAGGAAAGAGCAAGTATGTTGTGTTAATTTTCTACTGCTGCCCTGACAAATTACCAAACACTTAACAGCTTAAAACAATACATATTTATCAGGTCTCAGCAGCTTTTGTTGGTCAAAGTCTTGGTGGTCTCAACTGCATCCTCTGCTTAGGGGCTGACAAAGCTGAAATCGATGTCAGCTGGGCTTTGTTCCTTACCTGAGGTCCTGGGGAAAAATCTACTCCCATGATCATTTAGGTCTTTGACCAAATTTAGTGTGTTGTGGCTACAAAATTGAAGTCCCTGGGGTTTTTTTTTGTTTGTTTATTTGTTTGTATTTTGCTGTTTGTAACCTAGGGCCAGGCATTGCTACTTGATGTTGACCCCATTCCTTTGCATGCTTTCCATGGGGCTGGCTTCCAGCAATGTCGAGTTAATTCCCTCTTAAGCTTAGAATCTCTCTTGCTTCCTCTTCTCTCACCAGTCAAGAAAAAACATTGTTCCCTCTTTAATATCTCAAGTAATCACATTGGGCTCACCTAGATAATTCTTTATAATTTCCCTATTTTAAATGAATGAATTAGAAACTTTAATTACATCTGCAAAATTCCTCTTGTCATGTAATGTAACATATTCACAGACAATACCACGGGTTGAAAATTATGAGAGGTAAAATTGTGCCTACAACAGCTGCGTTGGCCTAAAAACTCTAGAAATATCTCAGATTCCTGCTTTTTTCTGCCATGTAATAATCCTCCCTTTGTAGCGACAAATTTGATATATTAATATCAGGAGAATAAGGTACCACAAGGTTTGGACTGTTTCATTTCTCAGGTAAATTTTACATAATTTTGAAAAGTGAATGAGAAAGTTAAAATCTGAGGTTTTCAAGAAAGTTTTGAAATTTGCCACACCATCTATTACAATGGAATGAACTGCAATATTTCTATTATTAGATTAAAGGACATGTTCTTCTCAGGGACCCAAGTCAAACAGAAAAAGTGGTAACCGAATGTATCTCTTATCCAACATTTTTGATATAAAAGAAGATTAAAGTCATTTTTCTCAAAGAATCCCAAACTTATTCCGGTTCACCTTGCCTGAAATAGGTAGGATAATATTACTTTTTAAACTTTAAAAAAAATCAAGGAAGAAGCTGAGAATCCGATGATGATCTCGGGATATTCTTAATATTAATTTGAAAATAAAAGAAAATCTATTTTAAAAACACATATAGGCTGTCTGGAGATATGAATATCATTCAATGACTTATTGAAAAATGTAATTTTATCAAACCCAACGAACAAAAGTTTGTCTCACTAATCTTTGTCCAAGGAAGTCTCCAAAACAAAGAGCTGAATTAGTGAATATAAATCATACTTTTGGATTATTGTGATACTATGTGACATTGAGGAGTTGGTGTCAGGGATGAAGCCAGGAAAGTAAAATGAGTTGAAAAGAAAGTCTTACCCCTATGGGAAAGAGTTAGATTTAGCCTGTATTTAATAAAATCCGTCCAAGCTGTTCAAGTACTGGTGACATGATCAAATTTATATTGAAGGAAAAATAGGAGGTGATGAATTCAGAGAAGGAAAGACAAATTCTTTCACTTAAGTGGTTATTTAGTTTAAAAAAACGGAGTCATAGAGAAAAGTTAAGTATTATAATGGTAGTCCAGATAAGAAAAGGTTGAAATCCAATGTGAAGGTTACTTGAAGTAAAGAAAGTCAGATATTGCAACTGATGGGGACTGAGAAAAAGGGATTAATTAAATAAGGTATCCAGGGAGCACTTGAGTGATTTGGTGAATAGTGTCATGTAAAGGTAATAAAGAACACTCAGGGGAGGGCTTCCACGGTTAGTGGAAGTGAAGATAGTAAATTTATTATGGAAATTCTGGGATTAATGCGTTTGAGAAATATAAGGAAAGTATTAGTCCTATAGACAGTTGTAAATTTCTATGAAGTATAAAAACAGCTCAGATTGAATATTCCTTACAGCTTCAAAAGAGATATTAAAGTAAGAGTTAAGAAAATATTATAATTTAGGTAGATTTTAAACTGATTACAATGTAAATCTCTAGATGTTGAACAATAAAAAAATCTTATCTTCATGTTTCCTTCAGTCAGTCAATAGGGACTTAGCCCAAAAGTTGTTTCATTTTTTTGTCTCTAAGGATGTTTAGTGTAAAAATGAAACCAGCTGGGTAAAAATAATACAGAAAAAACAAACAAAACAAAAGATCCATTCCCTTACAAAAGTGTTATGTTTGTGAGTATACGCTGGGTAGCAGTGGTGAGTACAATCATCTGCTTAAATTTTAAGGAGGGAAGATAAGAGTACTTGTATTTTTTCACAGCGATAAAAATATGAATTAAGCCAGGTGCTATGGCATGCACCTGTACTTCCAGCTACTCAGGAGGCAGAGGCAGCAACATCATTGAGCCCAGGCGTTCAAGGCTATAGTGTTTTATGATCTCGCCTGTGAATAGCCACTGAACTCCAGCCTGGGCAACATATCCAGATGGTATCTCTAAAAAGAAATTTAAAATAATAGACATCATATTACATTTAGTACAAAGGCACAGGGAGAAACTTAGTCTCTCAAAGAATTTTAGGTTTTAAAAAATGAAATAGATTTTCCACCCTGTTTTCATAATTTTTCATAATTTTTAAAACCAAATGAAATTGAAGATGTTTCTTTTACTTCTAATTGCCAATCTAAAAACAACAACAACAAGGTTAAGCCATTTCCAGCTTTTCACAACATTCTATTGAATCAAAATGTTTTCTAGGATTTTAAAAGAAAATGTGATAAAATCAAATGAAAAAAGGTGATTTTTCAAATATGGCAGTTTGGCAAATCATGAGTCAATGGTAAGTGATTTAGGCAAAGTTTTAACTACAAAATATAAATACTTCTTTGTGCTTCACTATACTTATTCCCAAAAATCAATGGATGCTAACATGAAAACATGTGATTGAGTATACCTTTCAAAAGAGTAATTAAAGAAAGTTAAACAAAAATTTTTGAAATGTGTAGTAACCAAGTAAGGTATGTTTGCCTAAGGAGGTTAAGAGAATGTTACAGTAGAATTATAGGGAGAGCAGTGATCTCTTCTATCAAACAATACTGCTATATTCCCCTCAGGGAATGTCAACTGGACTATCATTTACCATATCCAAAGGCTAAGTGAGTAAATTATTAAAGTGTTTAACAGTTTGGCTTCCAATGCATTATTAGATTAAGCTAAGTTCTCTAGATAGTCTAGTAGTCATTATGCTAAAAGTACAGTTCTCTATTTGGGAACACTTTACAGATAGTTTTATTATTTATTGATAGAGTTTTTTTTGGCAAGATGGATCATCATTAATTCAGAAAAAAAGATGAGATTAAATTTTCAGTTTGAGGGTATATTATATAAAGTCAATGTAGTCTAAATTTAAGTAATATTTGTTACATTAGTATTTCATGTTTACTTTGGCTTTTCAATCCTGCTTGAAAGTAAATATCAGATACAATTCCATGGTATAAGAAATTGACCATAGGAGATAGCTTGATACCAAAAATATTGGAGGCTTTTTTTGAGAAGAAACCTAAAAGAAGCTGGCACGAGCTTTGCACAGACCCAGTTAGACTGAACCTCTGATACTCAAATTTCAGTTTAGGATTCATTACTCAAGTTTTAGAAGACGTTTTCATATAAATCTATAGTAGAACCATATTGTTAGTACCTTATGAGCATATTCAAATTCATTAAGCATGTGTCAGTTTTCCTATCAAGGTATGGATGGTCACACTGTCAGCCATAATGGGTATTATTAATCCTAGGACTAGGAGACAGAAAGTCTGTTTCTTTTACCTAGGTCCTAGAATCATTTTGCCCAGTATCAAAGAGATGCCTTACTGGCTCTCCATCTCTCCATAGTTCTCTGTCTCTTCTGCCACCATGTGAAGCTGTGCTTGCTTCTTCATTGCCCTTCCACCATAATTGTAAGTTTCCTGAGGCCTCCCCAGCCAAGCCCCCTGTACAACCTGCAGAGCTGTGAGTCAACTAAAACTCTCTTCTTTATAAATTATCCAGTCTCAGGTAGTTCTTCATAGTAGTGTAAGAACAGTCTAATAAAATTGCTACCAGTGAAGTGAAGCATTGTTATAAAGATACCTAAAAATGTGGAAGCATCTTTGGAACTGAGTAATGGGCAGAGGTTGGGTAAGTTTGGAGGGCTTACAAGAAGACAGGAAGATGAGAGTAGGTTTGGAACTTTCTAGAGACTTGTTGAATGGTTATGACCAAAATGCTGATACTGATATGAACAGTGAGGTCCAGGCTGTGGAGGTCTCATATAAATATGAGGAACTTGTTGAGAATGAAAGTAAAGGCCACTCTTGCTCTGCTTTAGCAAAGAGACTGCCGGCATTCTGCCCCTGCTCTAGAGAGCTGTTAAACTTGGAACTTGAGGGAGATAATTTAGGGTATCTGCTGAAAGAAATTTCTAAGCAGCAAAGCATTCAATGTGTAACCTGGCTGCTTCTAATGGTGTACACTAATATGCATGAACAAAGAGATTATCTAAAACTTGAACTTATATTTAAAATGGAAACAAGGCATAAAAGTCTGGAAAATCTTCAGCCTGGCCATGTGGTAGAAAAGAAAAACTCATATTTTTCTGGGAAGAAATTCATGCCAGCAGCAGAAATTTGGATAAGTAAAGAGAAATGGAATGCTAATAGACAAGAATATGGAGAAAATGCTACCAAGGCATTTCAGAGACCTTCATGGCAGTTCCTCCCATCACAGGCCCAGAGGCATAGAAGAAAAACATGATTTTGTGGGCCAGGCCAGGGCCCCACTGCTCTATGCAGAATCAGGCCATGATGCCCTGCATCCCAGCTGCACCAGCCTCTGGTGCAGCTAACAGGGGTCCAGGTAGAGCCCAGGCCATTGCTTCAGAAGGTGCAAGCCTCAAGCCCTGGCATTTTGATGTGGTGAGGAGCCTGCAGGTATGCAAAGAGAAAGAGTTGAAGCTTGGGAGCATCCTCCTAGATTTCAGAGGATGTATGGAAACACCTGGATGTCCAGGCAGAAGTATGCTGCAGAGGCAGAGCCCTTATGGAGAATGTCTACTAGGGCAGTCTGGATGAAAAATGTGGGGTAGCCCCCACAAAGAGTCCTCACTGGGGCATTGCTTAGTTCAACTGTGAGAAGAGGACTACTGTCCTCCATACCCCAGAATGGTAGATCCACTGACAGATTGCACCATGCACCTGGAAAAGCCACAGACACTCAATGCCAACCTGTGAAAGCAGCTGCAGGGGTTGCACCCTGCAAAGCCACAAGGGTGGGTCTGCCCAAGGCCTTGGGAGCCCACCTATTGTGGCAGTATGGCCTGAATGTGAAACATGCAGACAAAGGAGATTATTTTGGAGCTGTAAGATTTAATGACTGCCCTGCTGGGTTTTGAATTTGCATGGGGTCTGCAGCCCCTTTGTTTTGCCCAATTTATCTCTTAGAATGGAAGCATGTACCCAACGCCTGTACTCCCATTGTATCTTAGAAGTACCTAACTTGTTTTTAATTTTACAGGCTCATAGGCAGAATTTTACAGGCTCATAGACTCTGCCTTTTCTCAGATGGGATTTTGGACTTGGACTTTTGAGTTCAGGTTGGAGTGAAATAAGACTTTTGGAGACTCTTAGGAAGGCATGATTGTGTTTTGAAATGTGAGAAGGAAATGAGATTTAGGAGGGGTCAGGGTCAGAATGATATGGTTTGGCTTTGTGTCCCCACCCAAATCCCATGTTAACTGTAATTCCCAATGTTAGAACTGAGGTCTGGTGGGAGGTGATTGAATCAAGGGAATAGTTTCTAATGGTTTAGCACCAACCCCCTAGTACTGTGTTGTGATAGAGTTCTTAGGGGATCTGCTTGTTTGGAAAGAGTGTAGCACCTCCCCCTTGATTCTCTTTCTCCCCTACCACCATGTGAAGATGTGGTTGCTCCCCCTTCACGCTTCGCCAAGATTGTAAGTTTCCTGAGGCCTCCTCAGCCATGACTCCTGTAAGCCTGTAGAACTGTGAGTCAATTAAACCTCTTTACTTTATCAATTATTCAGTCTTAGGTTGTTCTTTATAGTACAGTGAGAATGAACTAATACACTCAGATTATTTCTAATTATGGTAACCTAGGTGGGTGCCAAACTGCCTGTGTCCTTTTTAAATGCAGAATGGGATCAAAAAGTAAAGTGACTTTAAAAGGAGCCCTAGAATTATGTCAGCTTCTGCATTAATTTCAAATTGTCTTCATATTGTACTTCACTCTGTATCATCATTGAACATTTATTAAAAGTACTTTAATCTGCATTTTAGATTTCATCTCATCTTCAGTCAGAAATAATATTGAAGGCTGGTCTTCATTATGTCGTCTTAGAAAAAAATATCCCATGCTTTGGAGCACATAGGCAAACAAAGACCAGTGTCTGCTTTCTCATGGGCATTTCATGAGGCCATATAAAGTGGTCACTTTAATTACAGAAAAAGGCACAGGCCGGAAGCATGAGTAAAAACTAGTATATCTTTAAAAAAAATACAAGATATATTGCCATAAATACCAAAGAAATAGGTGAAGATATTTGGGCTCAATTTATAGTAATAAAGCCAAGGACTCCTTTTAAAGTTGAAGTCTGAATCACACAGTGTAGTCTATTTGCATAGTATTTACTATTACAAAATTTTGAAATGATATGTAAAGTGATATTGTTTGGCTGTGTCCCCACCCAAATCTCATCTTAAATTGTAGTTCCCATAATCCCCACATGTCATGGGAGGGACCCAGTGGGAGGTAATTGAATCATGGGGGTGGTAACCCCCATGCTGTTCTCATAATAGTGAGTGGGTTCTCACAAGATCTGACAGTTTTATAAGCTTTTCTCCCTTTGCTCAGCACTTCTCTCTCCTGCTGCCAGGTGAAGAAGGAGGTGTTTGTTTCATCTTCCGCCGTGATTGTAAGCTTCCTCAGGCCCCCCAGTCCTGTGGAACTCTGAGTCAATTTAACCTTTTTTGTTTATAAATTACCCAGTCTTGGACAGTTCTTTATAGCAGCATGAGAATGCACTAAAATATGAAGTTTCACTCCGGTTTTTAGATTTATCATAGGCTTTATTTTGGAATAATATTTCAAGCTGAAAAAAGCATTATACATTGTTTATCCAGATTTTAATATTTTCTATCAGGATTTTAATGGACTTATGCTATCCAATAGATTTAAATTCATAAACTTTGAGTATTTTTTCTCTGTAATTTATATTTTTAAATTAAATTTTTCAACAATAAGGAAATACTTATTTTCAACAAGTTAAAAGTTGTGTATTGTACATTTAAAATGTTTTATACTAAATTTTGTAATTTGGTTAAAACTTATTTGAATAGGTCACATACAGCAGATTGTCTGAAGAGCCCCCCTCCTGAAACATTAATTCTATTTATAATGTGGAAATAAGTTATATTAGTCATTCAGACAAATAGAAAGTCTGCTCAATTATCTGTTAAGTCAGACTATTTTTGGCTACAAAAATTGGTAGCAACTGGTTAAACAGCTATTCCTTTCTGTAGGGGTGGAGCCCTAGCTGCACCACAGAGATCCATTTTCATGTAACCCCAAGAAGGAAGTGATTTTCTCTGTCAGAGATAATGTGATTTAGTCCTTCCCTTGGCCACAATGTGACAAAGAAATATTACTGCATAACACATAGACACACAAAGAACACTCAAGTTGGAGAGATAAGCTTTTCTAAGGTTAAATGGAAAAACATCCAGTCAGCATTCAGCAAAGCATGCAGAAGAAAAGCAAGCTCACTGAAAACAAAAATGAATTATACGGCAGAACTTAAAGCAAACATTGAGCAATTTTATTATCAAAGGCCGAGTAGAGGGTAGAAGCATGACTTTCACAGACCTCCAATTCAGATGTACAGACATGCAATATCATTTTCATGTAACTGCATTTAATTTGTATCACAAATCCTCACTTCTGAGTAATAATAGAAACTCCAATTTAATCACTTCCTTGTAGACTCTGTCAAATTCAATTACTTCAATATATTAAACACAGTAAATTTGAGGATTCTGTATGCTCACTATATCTCCCTTTCTTTCTGAAATTGATCCTTGTTCTGGGATATTTAATTAACATGCCCCAAGCTAGTGCCGTGCCAGTGGAGATGAGTATATGGCTGGTGGACACACAAGACCCTATGCAACATTTCACCTAGGCACTCAATTCTGTGCAGGCTCCCTGTGGGCTTCCCTCCATGTTGGCATCACTGAGTCATGGCCCACTTTGCTACCTAGTATTCAGCCCTTCCTGTCCTGGCCTCTGCTATCTATATTCTCCTCTGCAGAATTTGGTGATATTTCAGAGTACTGATTGGTGCGTTTACAATCCCTGAGCTAGACAGTGCTGATTGGTGCATATACAATCTTCCAGCTAGATATAAAAGTTCTCCAAGTCGCCACCTGACTGAGGAGCCCAGCTGGCTTCACCTAGTGGATCCCCAGCCGGGGTGCAGGCGGAGCTGCCCGCCAGTCCCACGCTACACGCCTGCACTCCTCAGCCCTTGGGCGGTCGATGGGACCAGGTGCAGGCGGAGCAGGGGGCAGAGCCTGTCGGGGATGCTCGGGCCGTAAGGGAGCCCATGGTGGGGGCAGCTGAGTCCTGGTGAGAATTCAAGCATGGTGCGGGTGGGCCGGCAGTGCAGGGGGACCTGGCACCCCCTCTGCAGCTGGTGACCTGGGTGCTAAGCCCCTCACTGCCTGGGGTGGCAGTGCCGGCCGGCTGCTCCGAGTGCCGGGCCTGCCGAGCCCACGCCCACCCGGAACTCATGCTGGCCTGTGACCACCGTGTGCAGCCCCAGTTCCCGGCGGTGCTTCTCCCCCCACACCTCCCCTCAAGCAGAGGGAGCCATCTCCGGCCTTGGCCACACTAGAGAGGGGCTCCCACAGTGCAGCGGTGGGCTGAAGGACTCCTCAAGCATGGCCAGAGTGGGCACCAAGGCCAAGGAGGCACCCAGAGCAAGCGAGGGCTGCCAGCATGCTGTCACTTCTCATGATGATGTGGTTTTACTGTGTAACTGTTCCTCATCAGAGCTCGCGGACAATCATTCTCATGAGTTTTAAACATCAAATTACTTTATATTTTCATACCATGCCTTGTCTACTTGCTCATTACCAAATTTTTTTTGCAGTCTAATAAAATGGTATACGAGATTTTTATAAATGTTATTCTAAGATGTTCCAGTTGTTCACTTTGTATTTTCAAAGGCAAAGATATTCTTACATTAAAACTGAAACATATTCATGTTAATCACAATTGTATACTCCTTTGTAAATCTTTACGTTTTCAATTTCATAAAGTTGTCATGTTAACACAATTGAAAAGTCTTTGGTATGAGAAGATTTAATTAGATTTCATGTCAGTAAAACTAGACATTTAATTCAAATGCATATCATAGCAAGATGGGAATATGAGAAATGAAAGAGCATCTGCTGAGATTTTGGACTTCGTACTTTACATTATTTTCATTTTGTTTTGTTTGAGTATTTTTTTAGCTAGAGCCTTGGTTTCTGTAGGTTAGAATGGAACTAGAAGGCAAAAAGTTTTTGCTAGAAAATAATCCCATTGTGCTCTCTGATTTTCTTTATCCAAGTAAGAACGTCACATATTTTGGGAACATATGCTTCAGGAATACTCAAATACACACATAAAAACAAAAGAAAACAAAAAAGCATAAAACTTTATATTATGAATATTTTAGCATGTATGTAAAATCAAATGAACCTTTGGCATCTTATGTTCATTGAAGTCCATTTTCCTATTGCCACGACTAGTGAAATGAATAAAAGCAAATAGCTATTTAAAATCTAGTCCATCTTATACATATAATAGAATTTTATACTAAGTGCTCAAGTTGATTGGGGGAATTTCAGGGCAGACTCTGTTTCCATCTGCTATAAACAAAGAAACAGATTTCCAACAAATAATTTAGCCCTAGGTTTCCTCTGATCTTGCTGTGTGCTATATGAACTACGATCCCCCTACCTCAGTTGTGATGTGAGCAGAACCCCCTCAATACACACACAGTAACTCCCTCATCTTTCAGGAAAGCCAGTCCTCTAAACATATATCTTTGTGTTTAAAGGCAGCCTGTGAAACAAAATATTAGAATGCACACAGATAAAAAGTGAACAAAAATTGATGGTTCTTCATCATTTTGAATTTATTTGGTAGCATCTAAGAAATGTGATGTCACTGTAAAGTTTAATGAAGACCAGTATCAACCAATTGCATAAAAAAGCAAAATAAAATCATCTTTTCTTCAATGCAATCCACTAAACAATTTCTGCAAACAAAGTAAGACTGTGCTCTAGATAAATAAGCTGTCTGTTATAGAATTAATAGGTTTCAAACTAATTTATTTTTTTCTCAAAAACGATTTCGGAATTGAACTAGATTAGGTTTTTCCCTTAGACTCTTCAGGATAACAATGAAGAGTAAACATATATTTATAGTTCCTTCATATAAAAAACTTGTATCAAATGATTTGCTGAATTTTCTTCCCTAGGCGTGTGTCTATAATGAAAGCCAGGCATTCTGAATTACATTTCTTATAGCACATATATTATTCTGTCAGTCTTCTGCATTATTTTTGAGAAATATCTATATTTCTTTTCTCCAATGTATGAGTTTGAAAGCCTAGAAATGACTTGGTGTTTTTGGGCAGATGACAACAGCCAAGGCCTTGAGTGATTAGGGGATGGGTTGCCGTTGCTGGCTGAACTTGTGCCCAGGCATGAAATATGAACCATGTGCACAGAGATAGTGCTACTAAAGGGTAGCCGAGTGGCAGCATCCAGAGTGTGCCCACCAGTAATACTTTCAAATATTCCAGTATACCCTTACATCCCAGTGACCACTCAATGGTTTCATTATGATAGCATCATTTGCGCACTGTGACAATGATATGGTACCAAGTGATGGTATCCGTACAAATTGTAGGACCATAACACCACCATCGTTTTGAAATATCCCCAGAAAAATATATTTTGAGCTTTTTCCATTTCCCCACTAATTTGGATTCCCTGTTAATGTGAAGACATAACAATGCTTTTGATAATTATTGTTAATGATTTTCTTCTCAAAGTCATTTATTTAACTGAGAGTTTTTGGCAAAGGGCTTTTTAGTAAATCTGAACAGCATTTTTAAACTTAGAAAACTGGCAGATGGCACATCATTTCTCTAGCACCCACAACCACTCAGAAGCAAAACTAGTTTCAGTGCACAGTTCTTATGTACACAATATATCTGTATGACACAAGTAGAAATTTCAGTATAGTTCAAGGGATTCGACGTGAATTCTTATGAAAGAACCGAGGGCTCTCATTTGGCCACAAAAACTCTAGCCAGGCTTGCAGTTAACCCTGCTTAAAACAAAAGGTAAATGAGACTCTTTTACGTAATATGGAGAAAACAAATGTTTCAAGGGACAATACACAATATAACATTATGAGTGAACTAACATTACAAGGAATAATTACACTATGTATACAAATGTTTCTTACTAATTTTCATATGGATGTTTTATATATATGAATAGTAATCATTTATATCATTCTTGTCAGTAGTAGCAAAACAATTTGATGATTTTTTTATTCACGTAATTGAACCAGATAGCGATAATTTACACTTTTTTTTTTTTTTTCTTTTTGAGATGGAGTCTTGCTCTGTCGTCCAGGGTGGAGTGCAGTAGTGCGATCTCGGCTCACTGCAAGCTCTGCCTCCCGGGTTCCCGCCATTCTCCTGCCTCAGCCTTCTCAGTAGCTGGGACTACAGGCACATGCTACCACGCTCAGCTAATTTTTTGTATTTTCAGTAGAGACGGTGTTTCACCGTGTTAGTCAGGATGGTCTTGATCTCCGGACCTCATGATCCACCCGCGTTGACTTCCCAAAGTGCTGGGATTACAGGCGTGAGCCACTGCGCCCAGTCAATGGTACACATTTTCTAAACAACTTCACCACTGAAAAATATGAAAAATATACATGAATTTAAAAGGTAAAATTCAGCCTGAATATAATGGTTCAAAATCAGTACATTACTTACCTGATGTTCAAGCTCTTTCTCTCTTTTAAGAATTACTATAGTATAGTGGCACAAGTAAGATCAAACCTGTGAGTTTCTGTACAACGCTGACCTCTCTGACATGCCCATGAGACCTTCCCTAACATTATATTTCAAACTGATAATTTGCAGGTTGACTAGAATCTGGGATATAGACATTCATATATTTTTAGAAAAAGATATAATGGTACTTTTTTTGAGGGGGGCAATTTGGCACATATGTTAAAGTGTTTAACCTAATAAATATTTGACATAGAAATTCCACTTCTAGTAATGTCTCAAACAAAAATATTTGCAAGTGAACACAAAGAAGTAAAGCTAAATCTCTCCAGTGTAGTATTGGTACAGCAGAAAACCGGTAACCATCATCCAGAGATGTGTGGTTAAATAATAAACATGGAAGCTTAATCCCAAGGAATACTAAACACCTCTTCAAAGGTAAGGTGAGGTAGCTATATGTGTCCTAGCCAGGAACGTTCTCTAATACATATAATTAGTGGGGAAAAAAAAGTCATAATACTGAATTTCATACCATTCACTTTCAGATATTGTATAGATTAATTCATGGAAGAATTCACACATGTACAACCCTCTATTAACAGTAATTAACTTGGCATGTAATTTTTAAATGAGATGAAAAAAATGTTTTCCACTTTTACTGTATTTGCTATATAATTTCTTTAGATATATCTACTTTTTAAAAAATAATTCATGTGCTATTATTTTTATGTCAACATAAATCACGATGTTAAATAAGTATAAATCTTTCATTTTTATCATATTGCAATTGGTGGTGTGAAGAAAACTGGCATTCTTTTTAATTTAAGTGGCACACATCTGTAATCCCAGCTACTTGGGAGGCTAAGCAGGAGAAGAATCACTTGAACCCCGGAGGCGGAGGTTGCAGTAAGCAAAGATCATGCCACTGCACTCCAGCCTGGGCAACAGAGAGAGACTCCGTCTCAGGAAAAAAAAAAAAAAAAAAAAAAAAATATATATATATATATATATATATATATATATATATATATATATATATAAAATCTCTTTGTACACATGCAGTTTCATCTGCTTCATTCATTGGCAGTTATTCCAAGAGTGTATTTCATTATTGCTTGACTTTTTACTTTTTTATTTTTTATTGTGGCTCTTATTATGAACTATCTGTGTGAATGCACAAGTGTACTTTAAAAGAATCTAGTTCTGGATAGAATGTTCTATTAATATATATTTAAGAACAAGGTGTTTTATAGCGTTATTCAGGTTTTCTATATTCTACTAATTTTATAGTTTGTCCTTTCAGTTCTATCAATTTTTGCTTCAAGCATTTTGACACTCTTTTGGTGGATGTATACATATTTAGGATTCTGTGTTCTCATGGAGAATTGACCCCTTCATCATAATGTAATTTAGTGATTTTTTTTCTGGCAATATTACTTGCTGTCAGTATACACTGTGTTAATATAACTACTCAAGGTTCTTTTGGATAAGTGCTTGCAATGTATATCTTTGACATCCATTTACTTTATGTATACATCTTAAGTACATTTTTGAAGAGAGTATATTATTTGTTTATTGTTAGGTTATGTTTTATATCCAGACAACATGTGCCTTTAAATTTGAGGGTTTAGACAATGTACATTACATGTGATTATTTATATGGTTGGATTAATTTCTAAACCTTACTAGCTGGTTTGTATCTGTTTCATTTGATTGTCTGCTATTTTTCTACTTTATTTCAGGCTAAATAAGCTATTATGATTCAATTTTATCCTCTTTACTTATTTATTACTTACACCTCCTTTGTAATGGTTTATTTTTGCCCTAACATTTGCAAAGTACACTTTTACTTAAACAGATTTTATTTTTACATAATAGTATACTGCTTTATGTGTAGAAAAGCTATACGAAAAAAAATTCCCAATTTCTCGCTCTCATTCTTTGTACTATTGTTGGACTATTGTACTGTTTATACCTACATATGCTAAAAAACACACAAGGCATATCCACAATTTTTTTCCTTTGAACAGTAGTCTTTTAGAGCCATTAAAAATTTTAAAAAACTTTATTTTTACTTTCATTCATTCCATTTCTAGCACTCTTTCTTTTTATGTATATATCCAAAATTTCTGTCTGGCATTATATTCTTTGTATTTGAAAAAATTATTTAAAATTTATGTGCTATGGCTCTGGTAGAATGAATTCTTTTAATGTTTAATTTTCTGAGAAAGTTGTTACATCTTCCTTATGTTTGAAAAATATTTTTGCTAGGTACAGATATCTACATTGGTGGATTTTAAACAATACACCATTTAAAGACCTTGCTTCGTTGTCTTCTACATATTTCTGATGAAAAGGCTGAATTATTTATTTCCTCTGTTCCCATCTGTATTATAATGTTTTCTTTTGTTCTAGCTGCCTTAATTTTTTTCATTTTTCTTTGCTTATTAGAATTTTCAATATAATATACTTACATATTTGCATGTGTGTACACATCTCTGCCTTTATGTCAGTTGACATTCTATGAGCTTTGTGAATCGTGTCTGCCATTAATTTTAGAAAATTTGAATATTTCCTTTCTTCAAATATTGATTTTTTTCTCTCTCTTCTTCTGGAATTCCTGTTATATGTATATTACATCATTTGATCCCCATTCCTAAGCCCCACCCACCACTCAGCTCATGAATGCTCTGTTCTATTTTTTTTTCTATTTTTGCTTCAGATTGAGTATTTTTACCAACTCATTCCAAGTTCACAGATTCTTTCCTTGCTGAACTCATTGAAGTAATTATTTCTGTCATTTGAGTTTTCACTTTTACCATTTCCATTTGACTTTCCTTGTAACTCCCACTTCTCTGCCACCATTACCCATTTTCCTTTTTATGTTGTCCACCTTTTTCACTAGAGCCCTTAACAAAATATTCTTAGTCATCTTAATTTCTATAACATCTGTGTTTTTTTTTAATCTGGTTCTGTTGATTTCTTTGTCTGTTAGCAACGTGTTTTTGTTTTATTGTTTATTTTTATTCCACTTTTTCATATATCTTGCAATTTGGTGTCTTTTTTAGGACAGTACGTAACTGAGGTAAGTAGATTTTGTGTCTGAAATTTTGCACATCTTTTCTCATGATAGGTTTTAGAGGTGGGGTTCAGAGGGATTCTTATTTAAGCTTATTTTTGGTCTATTGTTAGATTTTCTCTATGCACTTTGCCTAAGAGGATATCTGTCCATAGTGTGTTAATTCTTTCAGGAATGCTCCACTGGTGCTTGGTGTTTGAAGTTTGGTAGCATGCGGGTGAGAAGTCAATGCTCTTTCCATATCTTCACATACCAAGTGGAAAGTCTCAACAGCTCACTTTAAACTTGTACCATCTAAGGCCCACGTTTTGTTTTGTTTTGTTTTTTGTTTTCTGGAAAATGCTTTGAGTCCGTAAGTGTGGACTGGGACAGATGGAGTTCTGCAAAAGAGGTAGATACTCTGAATGTATGAAACGCCTGTTCATGTAGTTTCTTGCGTCTTCTGGACCTGCTCAGGAATGTATTTCATCAAGGAAATACGTTCATCATAAAATGGTTTGCAGCTACATAAGCCTCACCATTTGATTCAGGCAACTGAAGTTGTGTAGCCATGTAAGAACCGTTTGTGGGTATTTTGTCTCTACCAAGGCTCGATAACAAGCCAGCATTTTTTTTTTTCTTTGTTCCCCAAACCGAGTGAATTTCTTGGAACTGGTTGCTCCAGAATCATAAGGGGGGTTTTCTCAAACTCCAGTTTAGCTTGGTAGAATTTCTGGCCACATCTTTACCCATCACTGTTACTTCTAACTCATCTTATCCAGTGAATCATATGGCCCAGTGGCAGGGCACTTAATGCAGAGCCTAAATGCAGAGCACTTAGGCTCTAGGATACATATAAAACCAGCAGCCTTAAAAGATATCATTGGTAGTAAAGCAGTTTCCCTAAATACTCCATATTTTGCCCTTAAACTTAGTTACGCAACTGAGCATATTTACATTTTGTTAGTGGAGGAGGTATGAAATGCAACAATGTGTTCCTCAGCTCATAGCAGATGTTCATAATGCTGCAAATCATTAGACCTTTAAAATCTTTTCTAACATAGAAGTAGCCTGACAGGAGAATGGCGTGAATCGGGGAGGCGGAGCTTGCAGTGAGCCGAGATCTTGCCACTGCACTCCAGCCTGGGTGACAGAGCGAGACTCCGTCTCAAAAAAAAAAATAAATAAAAAATAAAATAAAATAAATAAATAAATAAATAAAAAATAGCCTGAGTGTTCATGGGGTTTATCTCCAACTTTCCAGTATGCATGTGCCTTACGATGACATTTACATCACTTGCTATACACTGAAATCTATGTTTCAATGTGCTGTCCTGCCCTGTTGACTCTTTTATGGACACAGCACAGAAGAGTTTAAAGAGTAATAAAGTAAAACAGAAAATATTTATAATTGTCACTGTCCTCAGGTAAAGAAGCCATGCTTTTCATCTTTTTTATTGATTGAGGATTGAGAAGAAAGCTTTCATAAAATCGCTGGCACATGATAATTCCCAGGGGCAAGGTTAATCTTATCATTTAAACATACCATATTGAGAACAGTGGCTACAACTGGGACAAAGATATGATTAAATATATGACACTACACTGTCATCTGCCATAGGCGTGGCAGATGTCCTGGTTTCTGCAGAGAACAGAGCAGGTGAGTTGAATGCAGATGTAGTGAGGCCACTCCTCCTGCATTCTTCAGATGTGTGATAGTGGTGTTTATCTCTACAGGTCCTCATAGAGGCAGTGGGTGTTTTTGATTCTAATTCATTTTCTTGGCTAGAAGTGATGGAGAAATTTCAGGGGCTCCCATTTAACACTTCCTATCACAACAGCCACACTTCCGATTTTGGGGAATCAATATGAGACTTCTGTCACATGCTCAGTACATCTAAAATTGCTATAGATACATTATTTTGTTTGAAAAACCTAAGGCTCTCTGCTATGGTTAGCAGTTCATGACTTTGTGTGGCTCCATTGAATGTTACAATCAGTTAAACACACTTTGGAAATCATCAGAACCACTCACACATGATGGCCAAGTTATTACTTTCACTGAAGCTTGAATAAGCCAGAAGAAAACTTCTTTGCTATGAGGTTTATTTAAAATTTTGAGCCTGTTAAAGGAGTCAGAGTAGCATAGCCAAATTTGTTATGCATTTTCACAGTATTGGACGAAGCTTAAAGAACATTTTACATGTTTCTTAGAAGCAGTGAGTGCAAGGCAGGACAATGTGGCTTTTATTTTGCAGGGATACATGGATATACCTCCAAAGCGTGGGCCAGGAGAAGCTTCACTAAGGATAGAGCCCCTGTATTTTGGGGGACATTATCTCTCATCTCATGGCACAGACATATCTCAACAAATCATCTTGAGTGACTGCTGCTTCCTGCTCCCCGGTACTCATTAGCTTGCTGATATCAGTAGGCTGGATCAGTGTGACATCCCCTAGGATAGTGAGACAGACAAGCTCTTTGCAGACTGATTTGTAGCGTAGAGCCGAATAAGGCAATTAGCCTTGAAAAAGACTCCCTTTCATTGTTGTATGCAGTTTTTTTAAGGACAGAAAAAAATATATTAAGAAATCAAGAACTACACAGCAGGGTAGAAGATCTTGATATTTTTAAGGAAAAAGACCATATATGGGATGTGGCATCAATCAAAGTACTAATTGTTTATAATTCTCTAATATTACTCTGTGTATTCAAGCAGGTGAGTTAAAGGTGGATATTATAACACTCACTATAATATATTTTCAAATCATCGAGGGCAGTTTCGATCTCTGTGATTCTCCTTGAAGATGTGATTTTCTTTTTATTTGTATTTTTAGAATGCCATGCAGGCTAGGGTGTCTGCTTGCCTTCCTACAATAATAGTTTCTTTTTTAAAGATACATTTTTCAGGAGTCAATTCTAGAATTTCTTTTGTTCTATGCTATTTGTTGAAATTACACACTAAGTCTAAATTTTAATGTGTAAACTCAAATCAACTATCTCATTGATCATACAACAGCCAAAAGACTGCCCTTTGACAGGAAGACTGGAGTAACCCCTGACCAGAAGACCGGAGTGACATCCTTCCTATGAGATAACTTCAGTTTAGGGTTAGTGTTCACTAATCTCTGAAGTGCATAGGATATTTGCATTTTCTGATGCTCAGTTTCCATACTAACAGCCAAGATATTGGCATGTAGTTACTTAGTGTGCTCTATATCTTTGAGATTGACTGAAGTCATAGTTTTAAGAATACAACTCTCAGTTACTCTTATTTAGGTCAATCTGGCACCCACTTAGTTTTTGGTTTTGATGTTGCTATTACATGTAAGTAGAACTTGACAGGTTGTCTATACATTTTCATACTGGAGACATCGATGACTAACCCCAGATAACCTTTAATTCAAACCACTTCAATTATACTATGGCCAAACAACCTATGTGGAAATCATGACCATACGGCCAATAATAGTGGATGCTTCTACTTGGTCTCTGTTTCTCAGCAGTCTTATAGATGCAGTCTAAAGTCAAACAGATTTATTCTCAAGCAAGAGACTTGGAAGGAGGTGGTATTGCAAAAGGAATTAAGTTTCATTTTTTTCAGGTAGAATGTATTACCCCTTATGCTATTTAAA